>NT_167245.2:1638534-1831105 GCF_000001405.40 Homo sapiens | reverse complement strand
GGCCAACATGGTGAAACCCCATCTCTACTAAAAATACAAAAATTAGCTGGGCGTGGTAGAGCACGCATGTAGTCCCAGCTACTTGGGAAGCTGAGGCAGGAGAATCGCTTGTACCTGGGAGGTGGAGGTTGCAGTGAGCCAAGATCGCGCCACTGCACTCCAGCCTGGGTGACACAGCGAGACTGTCTCAAAAAAAAAAAAAAAAAAGAAAAAAAGTCAATGGTATCCGCCATCTACTACATTAAAATATTCTCAGACTAGAATTCCATGTATTTCAAAGTAATCATTTATTCAGGAAAGTTTTATGGTGCATCTACTTCTCCAAAAAACTAGAGTTAACGAGAGACAATTCCAATAATTAAAGGCTTCACAGACTAAAATGGCCCTACCCTATCTTTTCTGTTTCCCTACCCACACCTCTGGTCTCGATACTGGCTTCTTTCTGTTCCTTTATGAAGTCCCAGGCACGCTTATGTCTGTCTTTGCTTAATCTGCATCCTCCATCCAGAACACATTTCAAAGTTTGGGGCCCTCCTCCTCCCCAAAAAACAAACCACAAAAAACAAACAAAAAAGTTAAAGAAAAAAAATCTGAGCCCAGTATTGGGTGACTAGTGTGAGAGTTGAAAAATTGTGCAGGATTAATAATAAAAGGCTTTATATGCTATTCCAAGGAGTTTAATCCTAAAGGCATTAGGAGGAAGGATCTACTGAAGTACCTAAGAAGGAAAAACCTGATCAGCTCACCTTATCAACACAGATGACTGACTCATCCCAGACACTAATTTCTCCCCAAGGACTAACACAGCCATACCATCTCTCCTTCCTTTAAATCTCTTTTGTGGCCAGGCACACTGGCTCACGCCTGTAATCCCAACATTTTGGGGACCAAGGTGGGAGGACTGGTTGAGGCCAGAGGTTCAAGATTAGCCTGGGCAACATAGCAAGACCTCATCTCTACAGAAAACAAAAAACAAAAACAAACAAAAAATAAGCCAGGCATGGCGGTGTGTGCCTGTAGTCCCAGCTACAAGGGAAGATGGCTTGAGCCTGCGATTGAGGCTGCAGTGAGCTGAGATCGCGCCACTGCACTCCAGCCTGGAGTGAGGCTCCGTCACAAAAAAAAAAAACCCACCAAAACCAAAAAAATCTTTTGTACTTTAATCACTCTTATCCACTTCATTATAGGGACAGGAAAAGCCTCTGAAGAGTTTCATTGTGAGAAAGTATAATCCCCAAGGAACTGAAAAAGATTAAGTGTGGCTAGAGATATACTGTGTCTTCTCTCCTTTCGTATATCGCTTAAGCTGCTCCTTCAAGGCAAGAAAGCAAGCCTTCTTTACCCTTATACCCCTCTCCCCCATTACTGTTTCGTATTCTTGTCCTCATTGGGTCTCAAAATCGTAATTCACAAGCTTCACTTTCTCTTCTCCCATACCTTTGAAACATACTGCAATCTGGTATCATCTCCGAATGAACACTACTTCTGCCAAAGTTGCCACTGAACCCTTAGCTCCTCAAACCACAAAGTATTTTTTGGTCCTTATTTTGCCTGACTTCTCTGCAGCATTCCATGCTGCCTACCTCCACACCTTTTTTATTCTCTTCTATCATTATTTAATTTCTGGGATCTTGCTCACTCCTGGTTTGCCTCCAGTTTCTCTGGCTGTTTGCCTTTCTCAGTCTCATCTCTTCAGCCTCCTTCCCCACCTGCTTCCTGCAATTGCTGAAGTTCTTTAGGGTTCCCACCTTTAACCTTCTTTTTGGTTCAATCTGCAAACACTCTCTAGGGGACTCTTCCATATCCAGCACTTCAACTATACTTGCCTGTGTCTTTACTCCTAGTATAGTTGTCTCTCCACAGTGACTAAACAAACTCTCTTCTTGCCATTTCCTTTTAGAAATCCTCAGAAACGCCTAACTCAGCATTCAGAAGTTCACCTTATCTCTTTCCACTTCTTACTCTCCTGTCCATTACTGCTTTCAGTTAATAGTCTACTAGTCACTGGGTTACTTAAGTGTCAACCTTACTTCTCCCTTCATTTAATCAGTTCTCAGTTCCGATCAATGCCGCCTCCTTAGTAACTCTTTATTCTTCAGGCCTTGGCTTATCCCCTTACCACTTCTCACCTAGATCATGGCCAGAGCCCCCTAAATGGTCTCCCCACCTCCATCTTGACCAGTTCAAGGCCATTCATTCTCCATTGCTCAGTGCTACAGGTGAACTGTTCATAATCATTCCTTATGCACTTCAATGGGCCTTCCTTCTTAATGTCTTTAGGATTAAACTCCTCGGAATGGCATCTAAAGCCTTTCATTATCTGTCTCCTGAGCATCTTTCTGACTTCATCACACTAGTCACCAGGCTCTAGTGGGACCAGTCAGGCTTGCCTACATCTCTACCTTCCACAAACTTCCTTGGCTTGGAATGCGCTTCCCCTTGCTAATTCACGATGATCTTTCAAGAATAAACTCTGGGGAGCAGATGTAGTGGCTCACGCCTGTAATCCCAGCACTTTTGGAGGCTGAGGCAGGAGAATTACTTGAGCCCAGGAGTTTGAGACCAGCCTAGGCAACATAGCCAGATCTTGTGTCTACAAAAAATTTTAAAAATAAGGTGTGGTGGTGCATGCCAGTAGTCTCAACTACTTGGGAGACTGAGGCAGGAAGATCCTTTAAACCCAGGAGGTGGAGGCTGCAGTGAGCCATGTTCATGCCACTGCACTCCAGCCTGGGTGATGGAGCTACAATGTGCCTCAAAAAAAAATACTCAGCTATTACATATTCTTGGGAGGCTTTGCTGACACTCCCTTACCTGTCTGAGTAGATGCTCCTCCTCTCTTCTACAGTCCCATAACATTCTTAAGCACCTTCATCATACTCTGACAACCACTGTCTGTCTGGTTAATGCTCTGACCCTTCACCATACTGGGTTGTCCCTTGAGGGAAAGTCTTATCTTTTATCTCTACATTCCCACTTCCTCCACACAGTACCTGGTATACAGTAGGCATCCAATAAGTGCTTTTAAAATTAGTTACTGTGTACCTACTGGGGTTAGTTGTGTCCATTTATGTCCCCCTTAAAACTGACTTCAACCCTGGGAAGATATCTTCATGTTTTTTTCCTTCCCCTCTCAAAGCACAGTATATAGAGTGCTTAATTAAAAACAAGCGCTTAACAAACTTTCGCTGCTTTTTAAGTAAACCTTAACCCTCATTCCAACATCAAAAATCTACACTCTTGCTCCAGTTGAGTGAGAGGGGTGTCTTAAGAAAGAAACCATGAAGGAGTCACCCTCTCTTGAGAAACAAGGGGGATCACAGGCTCCCAAGGTGTGTGTATGCGCGCGCAGGGGGAAGGGGAGGTCGAGGCAGGGCTCATATATTCCTGGTGGAATACAGTGTATGGTGGGGCGGATGTCCAAATTTTTTAAGCAAGGTTTTCCCATTTCTCCCCATCTCTCCCTCGGTGCCATATGCTCTTTCTTTTATCTCGCCCAGTCTCACTTAGGTCACGTGCGACATCTGGATCTCTTTCCTTTAACCCCGATTCCAAACCCACTCCTCCCCGGCAAACTCCTCCCGGGCCCACGGCACGCATGCGCAGTAACTCCCGCACGGGCCCGGTCAGTCTCGTGCCCCATGACCCTCTCTTAAAACACGCGCAGTCTCCTCTCTCTTCCCCCTCTGCTCGTTTCTTCCTTGCCTACCAGCCTCACCTGATGGGCTCGTGCTCTCTCCGTCCCCGATCCACTCGGGCTCCGGCGGCTGCTGCTTGGGCGCCTTCGGCATCGCGGTGGCAGTTACAGCTACTGTGGCGGCGCCCGGTGCTATTTCCGCTTCCGGCGGCGGGGAACCCCGATGGGGCTGGCTCTCCAAGCTGGCGCGGCCAACCCCGCCCCCGGGCTGCGCACGTGCGAGCTTCGCCGTCATCTCGGGGGCGTGGCCCTGGTTCAGTGGAGGCGTGGCCTGCAATGACGGAGCGGGGCCGGCGTCCGCTTGCTCCAGTCGCGTAAACACATGGCGTTTACGACTGTCTGGGAAGCCTGACGCCGTGACCTCCCGACGCCGCGAGACTCAAGGAATGAACATAATAATTTCCTACTAGTATGAAGGAGTTGAGGCATACTGTTTTTTTGTTTGTTTTGTTTTTTGTTTTTTTAAAAAGCATATTCTAGTTTCTATCTGTAACTCGTTTCTAGTTCTGCCACCGCGATGCCGAAGGCGCCCAAGCAGCAGCTGCCGGAGCCCGAGTGGATCGGGGACGGAGAGAACACGAGCCCATCAGGTGAGGCTGGTAGGCAAGGAAGACACGAGAGGAAGGGGAAGAGAGAGGAGACTGCGCGTGTTTTAGGAGAGGGTCATGGGGCGCGAGACTGACTGGGTCATGGGCAGAAAAGACAGTGCAGACCAATGGCTAAGGGAGAGGTCTGATCGGTCCAGTGTTGAAATGTGTCACAAAATCCCGAAGTGTACAATTGTAAACAGGGAACTGGAGCCCAACATGCAGAAGTCACGGTGCAGTGGAGCTTCGGTTCATTTATTTTTTTTGGTAACAGCTTTACTGAGATATAATTGACATACAATAAACTGTACACAAAATAAAATGGCACCCAAAATAAACTGCAAAGTATCACTTAAATAAGTTTTGACCTGCATAAACCCAGTAAACTATCACCACAATCAAGACTTTGGTTCACTTCTAACTCTACCACTTAATATGGGAGCTTGAGCAAGGTGCTCCTGTAGTTCTGTCAGCTCTCAAACCACTACAATCATGCTTTTGTTGCCACCATTGTCTGAATTCACACTTGCCAAAGTCAACAGATCTGGGGCCATCCTACTCACTCTCCCATCAATGTTTGATAGACTTGGTCGCTCCCTCCCTCCTTTGTTTTCTTCAGGGACACTACTCTCTATAGGTTTCCTTTGCATCTAATGGGCTTCTCCTGAAGTCTAAATGTTGAAGTGCCTCAGGGCTAAATCTTTGACACTCTCCTTAATCTAGACTTATCACCTATCACCTCCTGACTTTAAATACCATCTATAACCAATGAAGATTCCCAAACTTCTCTTGCTGGCCCCCAACTTCTGCCCCGAGCTCCAGGCTCATGAATTCAACTGCTTATGGGACATCTTCTCTGAGATCTTTAATAAATCTCTCTCATACGTACAAAATGGAGCTCTTGTTCTTACTCCTAAATCCTGTCTCTTCCAGGCTTCCCCATCAAGAAATTGCACCACAGGTCATTCAGTTATTTGGGCCAAAACTGAAAGGTCATCATCCTCTTTCTCCATTCCTCCTCCCCTAATCAATCCATCAGCCAGCTAAGTCTGCCTCATTTTTTCATTCATCTGTTCAACAAATATATTTATTGAGTGTATAGTATGTGCCAGGCACTCTTCTACGCTCTTGGGATACTACTGAATAAAATAAAGATCTCTGATTACGTTTCCAGCAGGGGAGATGATCCTATAGATAAAAGAAAATATGGATCAAGTTTAAAAGTATCAAGAGGACAGATTTTAGTCTTAAATGAGGCCTCAGTAAAGTGAAATTCAAGCAAATCATTAAAGAAGATTAGTTTTGGCCACATGGATTTCCAGGAGAAGGGCCTTTCTAGCATAAGAAACAGCTGGAGTAAAGCCCTGTGACAGGAGTGTTCGGACATACATGGGGAACAAACAGGAAGGAGGCAAGAGGGGCTGGAGTGGCATGAGTGAGCCAGAGTTGTGGGAAAGGTGAAAAGAGAAGTAAAGCAGGGTCTGGATTGGGAAAGGTCTTTTAAATTATCTTAAGGATTTTGGCTTCTTCTGTTGATTTAAATGGAAGTCACTGCAGAGTTCTGAGCAGAGTGATGTGATCCAACCTACATTTTAAAAGGATGACCTGGGCTGGGGCGCGGTGGCTCATGCCTGTAATGCCAGCACTTTGGAAGTCCTAGATGGGTGGATCACGAGGTCAGGAGATTGAGACCATCCTGGCTAACATGGTGAAACCCCATCTCTACTAAAAATACAAAAAAGTTAGCTGGGCGAGGTGGCGGGCGCCTGTAGTCCCAGCTACTGGGGAGGCTGAGGTAGGAGAATGGCATGAACCCAGGAGGCAGAGCTTGCAGTGAGCCGAGATCCCGCCACTGCACTCCAGGTTGGGCGACAGAGCGAGACTCCGTCTCAAAAAAAAAAAAATAAAATAAAATAAATAAAAGGATGACCTGGCCAGGTGCAGTGGCTCACACCTGTAATGCCAGTACTTTGGGAGGCTGAGGCAGGAGAATTGCCTGAGCCCAGGGGTTTGTGACCAACCCAGGCAACATAGCGAGACCCCTTGTCTCCGTATATAATACAATTTTTTAATTTTTATTTTATTTTATTTTTTTGAGACAGAGTCTTGCTCTGTTGCCCAGGCTGGAGTGCAGTAGCGTGATCTCGGCTCCCTGCAACCTCTGCCTCCTGGGTTCAAGCAATTCTCCTGCCTCAGTCTCCTGAGTAGCTGGGATTACAAGCGTGCGTCACCATGCCTGGCTCATTTTTGTATTTTTAGTAGAGACGGGGTTTCACCATGTTGGTCAGGCTGGTCTCGGACTCCTGACCTCGTGATCCGCCTGCCTCGGCCTCCCAAAGTGCTGGGATTAGAGGCGTGAGCCACCATGCCTGGCCTATAACATTTTTTAAATTGTTAAATAAAAAGGATGACTCTGGAGGCTGTGCTGAGAACAACCTGGGCGGGAGGTGGGAGGGGGCAGGCAGCAAAGAATGGGCAGAAATGACAGAAGCAGGGAGATCTATTAGGAGGTGATGGTGACTCAGACTAGGGTGACAGCAGTGGAGGTGTGAAAAGGGCTGGTTTCTGAATGTATTTTGGAAAAGAGCCAACAAGTTTTGTTAATGGATTGGAGGTCATGTTTGACAAATAGAATTAAAGATGACTCCAATATTTCTGGCCTGAGTTAACTAGAAAGATGTAATTGCCATCAACTGAGACTAAAACATAACCCAAATTTAACCACTTCTCTCCACCTCTACCCTGACCAAGCCATCGTCTCTTCTCCCTGGACCACTGCACTGCGCTGGCCTCCTAACTGGTCTGCCTGCTGTCATTCTCATTCTCTAGTCTATCCTTCACACCTACAGTCAGAGGTGGTTTTAAAATGTAAATCCATGGGCCAATCGCGGTGGCTCACGCCTGTAATCCCAGCACTTTGGGAGGCTGAGGCGGGCGGATCAAAAGGTCAGGAGTTCAAGACCAGGCTGGCCAACATGGCGAAACCCTGTGTCTACTAAAAATACAAAAATTAGCCAGGCGTGGTGGTGGGCGCCTGTAGTCCCAGCTACTTGGGAGGCTGAGGCAGGAGAATCACTTGAACCCGGGAGGTGGAGGTTGCAGTGAGCTGAGATCATGCCACTGCACTCCAACCTGGGTGATGGAGCAAGACTCCGTCTCAAAAAGAAAAAAAAAAAAAGTAAATCCATTTGTTCAAAGTATAAAAATATTTAAAAAAGTATAAAATCCAGAATAAAATCCAAATGCTTTACCATAGTTTATAGGGCTCTGTACAATATGCCCTCTGTTAAACATCTTGATCCCATCTCCCACAGTCTAGCCACACTGGGCTTTTTTTTTTTTTTTTGAACCAGGATCTTGGTCTGTCATTCAAGCTGGAGTGTAGTGGTATAATCATAGCTCACTGCAACCTCAAAGGATCCTCCCACCTCAGCCTCCAACTAGCTAGGACTACAGGCACACGCCACCAGGCCTGGGTACTTTTTAAACATTTTTGCAGACACAGGGTCTCACCATGTTGCCCAGGCTGGTCTCAAACTTCTGAGCTCAAGCAGTGCTCCTGCCTCAGCCTCTGAGAGTGCTGGGACTGCAGGCATGAACCACCACGCCTGGCCTGGCCTTCTATTTTTACTTCAAACACCCCAGAGTCATTCCTGCATCAAGGCCTTTGCCTTTGCTGTTCCCTGTGCCTGGAACGCACTTTCTCTGTGTGTTCATATGGTTTGTTCCCTCGTTTAATTTTCTCTCTATGTGTTACCTCCTCAAAGCAGCTCTCTCTTTGTATCAACCTGTTCTCTTCCACCTGTCACTCTCTAACCTCTTTTTTCACTTTATTTTCATTTGAAGCATTTACTATTACTTAAAATTATATTACCTATGTATATTGTCTATCATCCTCAAAGCAATGTAAGCTCCATATGGGCAGGGATTTTGTCCTTTTTATTGATGTAGCTCCAGCTCCTAAAACAGTGCTTGCCCTACAGTAGGCACTAAAGTGTTCACTGAAAGTATGCAAAGCTTGGCCAGGTGCGGTGGCTCATGCCTATAATCCCAGCACTTTGGGAGGCCGAGGCAGGTAGATCACCTGAGGTCAGGAGTTCGAGACCGGCCTGGCCAACATGGTGAAACCCCATCTCTACTAAAATACAAAAAATTAGCCGGGTGTGGTGGTGGGCACCTGTAATTCCAGCTACTCGGGAGGCTGAGGCAGGAGAATCGCTTGAACCACCCCCTCTCCCCCCCCAAAAAAGTATGTGAAGCTTAAATAAGACAAAGACAATGTCTATAAAGAGCTTAGCAGGGTACCTGGCACTGAGCAAGCAGCCAGGTGACGCCACACTCTGAGATCTCTCCCTGCCTCTCCGTCATCCCTCCTTAGTCTCCTTGTCTGGCTTATCCTTGTCCTTCTTCACTTAGCAATTCAATGTCAGAGTTCCTCAAGGCTAAGTTCTGGGCCCTTCATCTACAGATTCCTCAGAGAGGTCTATCCTAGCCACCATGTCTTTTTTTTTTTTGGATATGGAGTCTCGCTCTGTTGCCCAGGGTGGAGTACAATGGTGCAATCTCGGCTAACTGCAACCTCTGCTTCCTGGGTTCAAGCCATTCTCCTGCCTCAGCCTCCCAAGTAGCTGGGATTATTTATAAATGCCCACCACCACGCCTCGCTAGTTGTTGTTATTTTAGTAGAGACAGGGTTTCACCATGTTGGCCAGGCTGGTCTCGAATTCCTGACCTCAGGCGATCCACCCGCCTCAGCCTCCCAGAGTACTGGGATTACAGGCGTGACCTACCGCGCCCGGCCACCATGTCTTGAGTAGCTCCCCAACTACTGTTTCTATTCAGTACCCCATTTATTTCCTTCATATGATTCATCTCAACCTGTAATTATATGTTTGCATACTTTTAAGAAAAACAGTCCCTGAGAATTGGGAACTGGCCTGACAATAACTGGCAGGCTTTGGTGTTGCTGGGAGCTGGCCTGTTGCCCATAGTTAGGCCATGGTACTCTTGTTGAACATAAACTATCTCACAGAAAATCAGTGTCAAACAAGGTCATCCTGTGTTTGTGATGAAATTAGACAAACTTCAAAATCTTGTCTAAGCACAAAAACACCACACAGTTCCCTGTCAGCTAAAATGTGTTGGCTTTTTTACCTTACAGCTTTAGCCATATTTCATTTCTCCCTCCTTCTAGATAAGATTAAGAAGTAGTCATCTTTCTGACAGCATCTAAGCCAGAACAATTTCCTGTTTCTTTTGAAATCACCAAACACAAACCCTAATCCTGTCATTCCTAGCCCCCTTTTAGGGAGATAACCTCTGTAGAATTAATAAACTCAACTTAAATGCTTGCCCATAAGTTGAGGAGTTATAAGTTAACTTTTAAGAAGTTTCTTCCGGCTGGGCGTGGTGGCTCACACCTGTAATCCCAGCACTTTGGGAGGCCGAGGCAAGCAGATCACCAGGTCAGGAGATCGAGACCATCCTGGCTAACACAGTGAAACCCCATCTCTACTAAAAACACAAAAAATTAGCTGGGCATGGTGGTGGGCGCCTGTAGTCCCAGCTACTCGGGAGGCTGAGGCAGGAGAATGGCGTGAACCTGGGAGGCGGAGCTTGCAGTGAGCCAAGATCATGCCACTGCACTCCAGCCTGGGCGACAGAGCTGAGACTCCGTCTCAAAAAAAAAAAAAAAAAAAAAAAAAAGAAGTTTCTTCCCAGACAACTGGTGTTCTCAGCCCTTCCTCCATCCTGAGGCTTTGAACATGGATGAGGAAGCCAGAGCTTCACTTTGGACAGTGAATAGAAGCTTGTGGTTGTGAATCTGAAAGTTGGGGGTTGAGGTTCTGAATACTCAGGGACCTTGTAGTGGTGGCATTGTCACACATCTTGGATTGTTGATTGTCCACCTCTTGACCTGTGAGAGAAATAAACTTCTATCTTTTTAAAAATTATTTATTTTTATTTTTATTTTTTATTTATTTATTTTTGAGATGGAGTCTTGCGCTGTCGCCCATGCTGGAGTGCAGTGGTGCGATCTCGGCTCACTGCAAGCTCCGCCTCCTGGGTTCACGCCATTCTCCTGCCTCAGCCTCCCGAGTAGCTGGGACTACAGACGCCGGCCACCACGCCTGGCTAATTTTTTTTCTATTTTTAGTAGAGATGGGGTTTCACCATGTTAGCCAGGATGGTCTTGATCTCCTGACCTCGTGATCCACCCACCTTGGCCTCCCAAAGTGCTGGGATTACAGGCGTGAGCCACCGCGCCCAGCCATAAACTTCTATCTTAAGACTTCTTTTTAAATGGCAGTTACATAAGCCAGAACTACCTGGAGAAATCTGATACTTTTATTTTGACCTGTAATTTTCAAATGTCTACTTTTCTCCAACTCTACTACCCAAGTCTATGTCACCATCATGGCTCACTTGTACTACTGAAGTAGCCAGTAGCCTTCTAATTAACTTCCAGGTCCAAGGTGGGCCCTCTCCATACAAGCTGATTTTTTTTGAAAAGCCAGCCTAAGCCATGATACTCCTGTCTAAAATTCTTCAAAGGCTTCTGTTCTAAGAAAAGAGCCAAATCTTCATGTTTTCCAAGGCCCTGAGTGGTCTAACTCCTCTTTCTTCTGCATCATCTCCCACTGTCCCTAGGTTTCTTAGCTCCTCTTCCCCTAGGTCTTTTAGCGAAGACCTTTGCCTTGACTTCCCTCTCCCACCCCACCTCCTGTTTATCCTTTGGAGCTTGTCTCAGTTGCATCTCCTACCCTGACTCCCTTTATTACACAACTCTCTTTCACCCTCTTTTCTTCCCTGTCTTCTTCCCAGCACTTTTGACAGGTTTAACTTTACATGCTATTTGTGATTATGAGAAACCTGTCTTCCCTGTACATTTTAAATCCATTGGCTTTGGCTGTCAGTTATCTCTAGTGCTTGGTATATTGCCTGGCCCACAGGCATTCTGCAAATTGCTGCTGAAAGACTCCTTCATCATTACCACTCCATAAACACAAACTCTGCAAAGTAAAATATTTAAAAATAACTCCACGGACACCTGGCCTTTCCTTTTTCTTACAAAACTTTGCCCTTGAACATAAGGCAGCTTGTTCTGGTTGATGCCTACAGGCTAATGGAACCTCCATTGGTTTTTTTCAGCCTGGAAGAACCTTAAGCTTTGTCATTCCCCATCACTAGTGTGTATGAACTAAAGAATAAGCTGACTCCACCAGGTGAGAACAGCTTCATCTGCAACTCCAGAGATGACTAGAACACAGGGATTAAATAAAATGCTGGTTTCCACTGCATTTATTACTAATATAAAAAAAGTTAAAAAGAAAAAAAAAAAAAAAACCTCATTCTCAGTTCTCCAACAGCTCTCACCCCTCCCTCTTGCCAATACAACTCCTGACCCATTTCCTCAGGGCCAGTTCAAAACTGAACCTGTTCACTGCTGTTTTCACAGAAAACAACCAGTGCCAGGGATGTAGGGGAAGAGGATTGGAAGAGGGCAACAGTACTGTCCAGCTTCTACCCAAAGATAGGCAAGGTGGAGATTCACAGAATTCAAATGAATGGACTGGTGGCCTCACAATGACATAGTCTAATTAAAATGGGCTGGAAGGGATCTAGGTAGGATAAAGCCATTGGAGGCTTTATAAGACATGTCATGGGTCTGTGTCAGACTCAGAATAACCAACAGGAGAAGAATGGGGAGGGCCAGGGAGGCAGTCTGATGGAAAGTTCACAATTCTCCCATGTTGGGAAGTGGGAAAGTCCAGAGGGCACCAAGCGCCTCACTCATTTTGGCAGGAAAACTTATTCTAGTGCTGGGAAGTCACAAAAATGCCACGGACACTGAGAAAGGCTACAAGGGGATGCACAGTTTCACAAAGCACGGTGATCATAGATAGACCATAGCGGTGGGGATCATGCTACTGACAGAGAAACTATGAAATCCAAAGGCAGGGAGAGTGGCCTTTTAGGAAGTAACTCTGCACCAGTCACCCAAACTTGACCCCAGGTTAGACAACCTGGCTGAGTTTCACAAGCAGCTGACAACATTGGGGGTAGGGAATGTCACATAAAAAGGACTTAAAACAAGCAGCTAAAAGAAGGGAATGGTAGGAAACCGCTCCAGGGCTCTCAGGAATTGAGGGCAATACTGGGGAACAGGTGGACAGATGCACAAGAAACAGCACCAAAGAGGTTTCCTGTTCAGCAGTCATTTGATGACGGGAAAGAAGATCCAGGAGGCAACTGAAAGGAAGCAAAGATGGGTCCCGAAGGCGAGTCTCTACAGGCTGGATCAGAAGAAAGCGCGTATGCCGCGCACCAGTGATGCAACACCACTCTGGACCCCACACGGGGGAAGTGGTGGATGGGATGGGTGTGTCACTGACTGAGGGTGTTAGAAGAGCCTCACAGTAGCCATCATAGGGCTACAGAGAAATAAATGGCCGCTAGGTCACAGAGAGCTCCTTCCAGCCTGGATGGGAAGGCACAGTCTCACAGAGGAGGTCCATTGACGCCTGGGTGGTAGAAGGCACAGAGGTCCTCATATCGACAGTGGCCCTTTTTGGCAAAATGTCGGCAGACAGGGCGGTCGGATTTGTCTGTGAACAAGTGAAAATGGAACAGTTAAAAATTTGAGCAACAAAGAAAACAAATACAATGAAACGCAGAGACAGAAGGAGAACTGATTTTCTACCCCCTACCATTTCCAGGTATTTTGGAATGGTAGTCTTTCTCCTGGGAGAAATAACATTGAGGTCTACTTCTGCTTCAAAAGCAAAAAGGAAAGCCCAGAGAAGATTGTGAATGATCTTCTGAAAATTAGGTCACTCTGGGAGTAATGGGCATAACAAAATGGACCTCACCTTCCATAACCTGGGGGTCATCCTTGGGCGGGCAGGTATTCTTGATAAGAGACCAGCTTTTGAGCCTTCGAGGGTTTCTCTGTTCCTTGTGAAAGCTTCCCCTGGTGGGACCCCCATGGCCTGGCCCCGGAAAAGGAGGTTCTGCATTGACTCCCCACCAACCACGACCATATGGGCTAGACCTGGGGCCAAGCCCTCTCCGAATTGGGCCTCTACCCCAAGGAGGAGGTGGGAGACTCAGCAGTGGTGGAATCAGTGGTCCCCTTGATCCTGGAGGACCTCTGTGAAGAGCTGGAGAGAGAGAGAGAGAGAGACACAGAAAGGTGTCTAATGGGCAGCTGAATCCTGATAAACCGTGATTAAAAAAATTTTTTTTATTGAAGAACAGCATACATAAAGACACACCAGTTTTAAGTGCACAACCCAGTTCTCACAAAGTAGACACACTTGAGTTTCCACCACCAGGTGAAGAGATAAAGCCTTATTAGCACCTCAAAAGATCCTCCCCTTGTGCCCCTTTTCCCATTACCCACCCTCCTCCCCAAAGGTAACCACTATCCTGACACCATAGGTTAGTTTTTGCCTGTTTTTGAACTTCACAAAAATGGAATCATACAGTCTGCATTCTTTTATGTCTGGCTCCTTTCGCTCAACATCATGTTTGTGAGATTCATCCAGGTTGCCTGTAGCAGCAGTTCATTCATTTTCGTTGCAGTGTAGTCCCATTGCATGCATACACAACAATTTATTTATCCATTCTACTGATGATGGACATGTGGGTGGTATCCAGTTTGGGGCTATAACGAGAAATGCCACTATAAACATTTTTATACATGTTGTTACACATACGTATGCATTTCTGTTGAATATATACGTAGTAGAGGTATTACTGGCTTATAAAGTATATGTTATGCTCAAGTTTCATACATAATGCCAAACTTTTTTTTCACAGTGGTTATACCAATTTGCACTCTCACCAGCAGTTGTCCTATAGCCTTGACAACACTTGGAATTGTTAGGTTTTTAAATTTTGCCATGGTGAGTGTGAAAAGTGGTGGTTATTTTTTTGTTTGGTTATTATTATTTATTTAATGAGAGATTGGGTCTTGCCACACTGCCCAGGCTGGTCTTGAACTCTTGGGCTCAAGTGATCCTCCCACCTTGGTCTCCTAAAGTGCTGGGATTACAGGCATGAATCATCATGCCTTGTTTTGTTTGGTTTTTATTGTGGTAAAAAACACATAAAATTTACCATCTTAACTATTTTTAAGTGTACAGTTCAGTAGTGTTACATATATTCATATTGATGTGAAACAGATCTCCAAGTTTTTGTTTGTTTTTTGAGATGGAGTCTCGCTCTGTCGCCCAGGCTGGAGTGCAGTGGCGCGATCTTGGCTCACTGCAACCTCTGCCTCCTGGGTTCAAGTGATTCTCCTGCCTCAGCCTCCCAAGTAGCTGGGATTACAGGCGCCCACCACCACGCCTGGCTAATTTTTGTATTTTTAGTAGAGATGGAGTTTTACCATATCGGCCAGGCTGGTCTTGAATTCCTGATCTCATGATCCGCCCGACTTGGCCTCCCAAAGTGCTGGGATTACAGGCACGAGCCACCATGCCCGACCTCCAAAAGTTTTTTATCTTGCAAAACTGAAACTCTGTACCCATTAAACAAAACTCCCCTTCCTCCAGCTTCCTTCCCCCAGCCTCTGGTAACCATCATTCTACTGTTTCTTTGAAGTTGACTTTATTTTTATTTTTTGTTTTGACAATCTTGCTCTGTCATCCAGGCTGGAGTGCAGTGGCGTGATCTCGACTCACTGCAACCTCTGCCTCCCAGGTTCAAGCAATTCTCATGCCTCAGCTACCCGAGTAGCTGGGATTACAGGTGTGCACCACCATGCCCAGCTAATTTTTCTATTTTTAGTAGAGACAGGGTTTTGCCATATTGGCCAGGCTGTTCTCGAACTCCTGACCTCAAGTGATCTGCCTGCCTTGGCCTCCCAAAGTGCTGGGATTACAGGCGTGAAGCACCATGCCCAGCCCCTGAATTTGACTTTAGACACCTCAGATAAGTGGAATAATACACTATGTCTTTACTTAACATAAAGTCCTCAAAGTTCATCCATGTTGTAGTATGTGACAGCACTTTCTTCCTTCATAAGGCTGAATAATATTCCATTGTATGTACACGCCACATTTATCCTTCCATCAGTGGACATGTGGGTTGCTTCCACCTCTTTGTTATTGTGAATACTGCTGCTATGAACATGAGTCTGCAAATATCTCAAGACCCTGCTTTCCATTTTTTTTTTTTTGATATATACCTGGAAGCAGGAGTTCTGGGGTAATTCTATTTTTAATTTTTTTGTCATCTGGTAGTTCTATTTTTAATTAAGAGGAACCTCTTCATATTGTTTTCTATAGTAGTTTCACCATTTTATAATCCCAGCAGCAGTACACAAGAGTTCTAATTTCAAAGTGGTATATTTTTATCTTGCATTTACTTGACAATTAATGATATTGAGTACTTGTTCATTTAGACCTTTAGTTCATTTAGATCTCCATTTTAATAAGGTGTCCTGTGTTTTTGTCAATTTTTCAAATGGCTTGTCTGGAAGAGTTCTTTATATATTATAGATACAGGATCTTTATTTGTTATATTTATTGCAAATATCTTCTATTGTATGGCTTCCTGTTAATTTCTTAATGGTATTATTTGGCAAGTTTGTATTTTGTTTTTTCTTTTTTTTGAGACAGTCTCACTCTGTCCCCCAGGCTGGAGTGCAGTGGTGCAATCTCAGCTCACTGCAACCTCCGCCTTCCAGGTTCAAGCGATTCTCCTGTCTCAGCCTCCTCAGTAGCTGGGATTACAGGCACACACCACCATGCCCGGCTAATTTTTGTATTTTTAGTAGAGACAGGGGTTTCACCATGTTGGTCAGGCTGGTCTTGAACTGCTGACCTCGTGATTCGCCCGCCTCGGCCTCCCAAAGTGCTGGGATTACAGGCGTGAGCCACTGTACCCAGCCGCAAATTTATATTTTCTAACGGAGTTCCATTTATCAATCTTTCCTTTATGGTTAGTGTGTATACGTGCATTTCTTGTCTGTTTAAGAACTCTTAGCTACTCTTAGAAAATACATTTACTTTCTAGAATAATTATTCTCTTACCTTTTATACTTAGATCTACAGTCCATTTGAAATAGATCTTTGTATATGATTATGAGTGCAAGGTGAAATTCCATTTTTTTCACATGAATATCCAATTGATCCAATATCATTTATTGAAAAGACCAACTTTTCAGTTCCATCTTCATCATAAATGAAGTGTCCACACATGTATGGGCCTGTTATTGGACTCTTCGGGACATAAGTCCTATTGACTTATGTCTATCATTGTTTCCAAACTGCATCGTTGTAACTATTGTAGCTTTATAGTAAGTCTTTTTTTCTTCTTGTATTTAGAGACAGGATCTCACTATGTTGCCCAGAGTGGCCTCAAAAACTCCTGGGCTCAAAGGATCCTCGCACCTCAGCCTCCTGAGTAACTGGGACTACAGGCGTGTGCCACCATGCCCAGCTTACAAATCTTGATATTCATAGTAAGCCCTCCCACTTCAAGATTGTCTTGATAGTCGCCTTGATATTTTGCATTTCCCTATAATAATGTGTATTTCCACAAAAACATTATGGGTGTTCTGACTTGGAATGCATGAAATCTGTTTATCAATTTGGGAAGAAGTGACATTTTTACAACATTGAGTTTTTAAATCAGCAAATATACAACTTCTCTCCATTCATTTAGGGATGGAATCCCTGATCTTTTATTTTTAAGTCCTTCCTGGGTTTTATCCCCTCCCTTGCTGTCTTCTCTACGACCTAATACAAGGATCAGGGCCCCTTCCTCCTCACCTGACTTAGGGTCGCCAGGTTTTCCATTGGCCATGGGGGGAGGGCCCAGAAGGCTGGGTGGTCCTAAGAGCAGACATGAAAATATGGTCATCAGAATGGATTAAAGGACTGATGATTCTGTTCTTAGGTGTTTTTCTTGTATTACTTATTTCTTAATTCAACCAGTAAAGTCAGGTATATTTTCAGCAGTCTTGGGAGTTCTCACCCCATCTATCTGCCCTTTTTTCTGCAAAGCTGTTTCAGGGTTTGCAAAAAGTAGATATTCAATCAAAGGGGATAATGCAGGAAAAGATACTGACAACTTTTTTTCTTCACCGTACCGTCGCTATCCAAAACAACCTAAGTGTCTCCAGACATGAACCAATCCCTCACCTTAACTGCTGGCCAGAGGACTAGTTTAGAGAAAGCTGCACCTGTACCTTTTCAGTCAAAGTCTGGATACAAACTGTCATCCCAGTCATCGCAATCTGCAACATCTCTACTACCCCTTTCCCCTACTGTTCTGCGGCTGCGCAAAAGAGCTCTTTATTCTCTCCACCCCCGCCTTCTCCAGAAAGGTCTGGGGCCGTATTGAGGTTGATGGTTCCAGTAAGAGAACTCCTGGTTCAAGGCTCCATTTGGGAGAGCCCCACTTCCATCCCTCCCCAGCGCGTGCGCCCTTCCTCCTTCCGTTACAGCCCCCTCCTTCGCACCTTATTAGCCCCTAGCCCCTTGCCCGGACGGGCTTGACAGGCATGTGCACATCCCTCCCAGACCCCTCACCGATGGGACTCCCATCCTCCTCATCTCCAGTCTCTTCCCGCTCGGGCAGCGGGGGCTGCTGCTGTGTCGGTGGCTGGTGATGATTCTGCTTCTTTCGTTTCGGCATCGTGTCTGCGGCAATGGCTGCAGCGGGATTTGGAGGGTAGTGAGGAAGGGGCACGCGGGGATTCTGTTTCCGCTTCCGGGGGGTCGGTGGGCAGCAATGCTGAGGCTCCCGCCATTCCACTTCCGGAAGGTTGCGGAGAACATCTGCGGCGGCCGCATTCCGGAGCCAACTGCCTCCCTCCGTCTCTGCCAGGCATGGCGGCAACCTCACACCTTCCCTTTGCTGCGTTTCTATAAATGCTTTGAAAAAATTACTCTTTTCTTCCCTCGCTGGAAAACACCACAACCAGCTCCTCAGAGTGTGTCACAGAGTCAACAGGCTCTCGGGCCAGAGGGCCTGAGAAGAGGACTGTCGCACCGTAAGATCGCCACATCCGGTCCTCGGTTACTATGGTAACAGCTGCAGGCACAACTTCGTGCCCTTTGACCTCCCCCCAAAAGTCCTTGTCCCGCTTGGGTTTCCCTTCTCGCCCGCTTTTGCACTTATGATCTGTAAACCTGCTCCTTATCATCGTTCCCACAAGGAATTTGGGTCCCAACAGGTCGGCACCCAGGACTCTCAGACCGCCGCCCTCCCCTAAAGACCTCTGACCGTGCCCCCGGTGTAGTCCAGCAACCTGGACGCAGTCTCGGCTTTCCACTAAGGTCAAGCCCGGGGCTTTGTAGTATAGCCTCAGCGTGTCCACGCCCCCTCTCCCCTAGGTAGTAGGCCCCGCCCTCCGCTCCGCCGCCCCCTCCAGGTGAGTGGTAGGTTCTCCCGGGAGCGCAAGGTAGTGATGACACGCGCCCCCCCTCCTCCGAACGCGAGTTGGTAGCGTCCGTGACGGAGTTAGCCTGGTCCTCCCACGCGCGCCTCCTTCCTCGCCGCCGGGGCGCCCTCTCGGTGCCACTGGCTCTCACGTGCCAGTAGCCCACCCCGCATCATCCTCTCGCCTCGCTCCTGGAGGGAAGTGACTATATCTCCCCCGTCCGCCTTCCATCGCCGCCGCGGCGGTAATTCTGTCGGGCCCGCCCGCTGACGTCACCTGCTAGCCCCGCCTCCTCTAGGGTCCCGGGCCCCTGCGGCGGGGGCTGCCCCGGGGGGCAGTCAGTTGAGGCGGCGGGAGCTCGGCGGAGGGCGGGCCAGGTGACTGGTCCGGGCCATGCCGAGGAAGAAGCCATTCAGCGTGAAGCAGAAGAAGAAGCAGTTGCAGGACAAACGGGAGCGGAAGAGAGGTCAGTGCGGGAGCGGGAGGAGGGGGCGGGGCTCGGGCTTCCGCACATCTGGAAGGAGGGGTGTGCCCGCTGCACCTCTGGGGATCGTGGGAGGGGGTCGTGGGACCGCGTCAACCCTCGCGGCCTATCGCGGAGGGGATCCCCCACCCCCCCTACATCTGGAAGGGGTGGGGAAGGATGGAGAGTTGGGGGAGGGGAATCCCTCCAGCTAGCACGGGGCGCCGTCCCCACTGCTCCCTGAAGGAGTGACTCCCCCCACGCACATCCGGGAGGGTCCCAAATAGGGTGTCTGGGAGGACTGAACATCGGAAGAAGTTGAGTGGGATGAAAGGGAGTCAGGCCGATGGGGGAGAGGGTCTTATGGCCCCTGAGAGCTGGCCAGCACTGGCGTCACCGGCCCCTCCCCGCAGGGCTTCAAGATGGGCTGCGCTCCAGTTCCAACAGCCGCAGCGGGAGCCGGGAGCGGCGAGAGGAACAGACCGACACCTCGGACGGGGAGTCTGTGACCCATCATATCCGCAGGCTTAACCAGCAGCCTTCTCAGGGGCTGGGTCCACGAGGCTACGACCCAAATCGGTGAGGGTGGGAGGGGGCGCTGGTCCCGGCTTTCCCGCCTACCCGGAAGTCAGAGCTTTGGGGGAAAGCGGGCTGCTACTGGTGAAGACGGTGGGCCTGGGATGCCACAGTTCTCCGCTAGCCACTCGGCTCCCCACAGCGGGCCACAGTCTTCCTTTCCAGAGGGGCTGGAGAGAGTTGGGCTTTTAGAAGGAGAAGGCTGAGTATTGCCTGAAAGAAGGACTTGGGGGAAGTCTGACTTGAGAGAGGAGACTTGAACGACTCTGGAGAGAATGGTTTGCGAAGTTGATTGTACAAGAGGGGAGAAAATAGGAGTTTGTGGCCACAGGATTGCTCTGGATGTCTCGGTCCCTGTTCCCTTAGATACCGACTGCATTTTGAGAGAGACAGCAGGGAGGAGGTAGAGAGGAGAAAGAGAGCAGCCCGGGAGCAAGTTCTACAGCCGGTCAGTGCTGAGTTGTTGGAGCTGGACATCCGGGAGGTGTATCAGCCTGGCTCAGGTGAGTGAGAGCAAGACAGGCATTGGGCTGGGGAAGGAGTTTGGAAAGGTAAAAGCCGACTGTGAGGAAGGAGGGGTCTGGGATGTACTCTTGAATCCTGAAGATTTCCTCACACTTGGACTTTTTCCTGAATTCCCAGTTCTGGACTTTCCTCGACGTCCTCCTTGGAGCTATGAGATGTCCAAGGAGCAACTAATGAGCCAAGAGGAACGGAGCTTCCAAGACTATCTTGGGAAGATTCATGGGGCTTACTCCTCTGAGAAACTCAGCTACTTTGAGCACAATCTGGAGGTGACAGTGTACTCTAGGGACAGGAGTGGGGCATAGTGACCTATGGTCAAATTGGTTTGGGATCAGGCTGGAGAGGGACTCTGTTTTCAGTTTCTCTTCCTGATCCTGTCTTTTTAGACATGGAGGCAGCTGTGGCGGGTGTTAGAGATGTCTGACATCGTCCTGCTTATCACTGATATCCGACATCCAGTGAGTACTAGGGATAAGGGTGGGCAAGGAGGAGGGAGAAAGGTTTTTCAGGGGCAAAGGTCAGAGGCAAGAGTTGGGAGACAGAGAGGTATCTATCTTCCTGTCTTTCTAATCTCTACCTAGTGCTGATGTCCGCAGTTAGGAACTCAGTTTTTTATTCTCTTATAGCCTGTCATTCCTCCCTTGGCCAGCTCACTCTTCTCTTCAAAACAGCCATGTCCTGTCCTTTAGCTCATCACAGACCAATAGAAAATCCAAGTGTTGGAGCTCCAGGGATTCTATGAATGCAGCTGGGGACTTCCTCCTGCCCAGCCCAAAGATGCCCTTTCTTCCTTATCTCATTTCTCTAGCACTGCCACATCAGTTGCTACAGAACCCACCTGGAATGCTAGAGTAGTAGTTAAGGCTGTAGACTGCTGCTGGACTGCCCTGTGTGAATCCTAGCTCTGCAACTTCACTCTTGTCCTCCAGTGGGAGAAAGGGAGGTCTGTGAGGACCATTTAGGTTGGAGGTCCTTAATAATATGTACACACACATACTCACACGTACATCATGTGCACATCAATATACACAGGCATGTTTGCACACATGTTCACAGTCACATTAACACACAAACATGCACACATGTGCACGTACTTGCATGCATGCATATATGCACGTGTACACACTTACATAGTTGTGCACACACAAAAAAGCAGACTAATTTCTACCCTAACCCCCATCCCTGTTTCCGATCCCAGCCTTTACCTCAGTGTGCTAAGTGATGCTGTTTCCTTGTCTTGTTTTGGGTTCATTTCCATCTCTAATCATGACCTATAGGAAGCCCTCTGAGACTCAGAAGTATTACTAACCCCTGTTTTGTCTTTGTTTTTCAGTTTGTCTGGTTTATAGTTTTTAGCCCAGAGTCTGCTACCACCAGGGCCTTGTCTCTGAGCTACACCTGCTGAGTGGGGAGCTGGAGGCAGAGAACTCTGGGTTGACTTTCACTGCTCCATCCTCTTATCAACTCTGTCCTAGGTTGTGAATTTCCCGCCAGCACTTTATGAGTATGTGACTGGAGAACTTGGACTGGCCCTGGTGCTGGTTTTGAACAAGGTGGATCTGGCCCCGCCAGCTCTTGTGGTTGCCTGGAAGCATTATTTCCATCAACACTATCCCCAGCTCCACGTCGTCCTTTTCACCTCTTTTCCTCGGGACCCCCGCACCCCACAGGATCCTAGTAGTGGTGAGTGGGCAATGAGAGAGGGCAACTTGGGAGAGGTGAGTTGGCAGGGGACAAAGGGGAGAACAGAGAGGCTTATTGACAAGGGGGCACCTGGTCTTGGGCCTAAGGGTGGTGGGAGAGATGAGAGGCCTAAGCCCGTGTGCCCATCCTTTTGTGCCCTCTGATCTCAGTCTTGAAGAAGAGTCGGAGGCGGGGGAGAGGATGGACTCGGGCCCTGGGGCCAGAGCAGTTGCTGAGAGCCTGTGAAGCCATCACTGTGGGGAAAGGTATGTGGCCCTTAGAGGAGGGCTGTAGGAGGACATGGGGGAGACCAAAGATGCAGAATCATTTTGCTCACCTTTCCTGAAGCCAACCCCTCTATGGTGGATATGTGCAAGAGGCCAGGGGAAGGGACAGAATAAGGAGCAGACTGACTTGGTGGGACGAGAGGCAGCAGGTAGTCAGGAGCCTCAGTGGCTTGCTGCCTTTAGCCTTCCCAGTACTTTTCAGAAGCTCAGAGAAACGTGCGTGATTCCAGGGAGGGTAGGGTCAAATGACTTTTGGGAGATTCTCTGACCTGCTCTTATTTAGGTTGGCACTGTACAACTCCAGAGGGTGCCAGTTACATAATCTGTGCAGGGCACAGTATGTGCCATCATGCACAGCAGCCCTGGGGAGAACCTCTTTAATCTTCTCCTTCTTTGAGCAGTGGACTTGAGCAGCTGGCGGGAGAAGATTGCTCGGGATGTGGCTGGGGCCACCTGGGGTAATGGCTCTGGGGAGGAGGAGGAAGAGGAGGATGGCCCAGCAGTCCTGGTGGAGCAGCAGACTGATTCAGCAATGGAGCCAACTGGCCCAACCCAAGAGCGCTACAAGGATGGGGTGGTGACCATCGGCTGTGTGGGTAAGGAAGTGGCAGCTTGTGCGTGGTGGCCTCCAAGGAGGTACAGAGTTTTCATATTCGGAGAAGAGAGAGGGCGATCAGGTCTCATTAGGCCCCAGGGTGTCTGAGGGGTGATCTCTGCCAGTGGCGGTGGGCAAGGCAGAAGAGGCGTCTGCTGCAGTGGAAGGATCATGACAGCCTGAGTTAAATTCCACCTCTTCTCAGCTGTGAGGTCTTGAGTAAGTGATTTTGCTACTCTGAGTCTTAGTTACTTTGATTTTAAAAATAAGGACATTGATACCTGAGTAAAAGAATGGATGACGGCCATGTGTGAGGGCTCATGCCTATATAGTCCCAGCGCTTTGGGAGGCTGAGGTGGGAGGATTGCTTGAGACCAGGAGCTCAAGACTAGTGTGGGCAACATAGTGAAACCCCATCTTTACAAAAGATAAAGAAAACTAGCCAAGTGTGGTGGTATGTGCCTGTAGTCTCTGCTACTTCAGAGGCTGAGGCAGGAGGATCACTTGAGCCCAAGAGTTCAAGGCTGCAGTGAGCTATGATTGTGCCACTGCACTCCAGCCTGGCTGATAGAGACCCTGTCTTTAAAAAAAAAGAATGGATGTGAGGAATGATGGGAATAGTGTTAAGAGAGTGTAAGAATGCCTGACAAATAGTGATAACAATAATAACAATTATTATTGTTAAAACTCAGTATTTATATGGTGCTTACTATGTAACAGGCACTGTTTTAAGTGGTTTATATAAACCATTTGAATTGTAGTAATTAGTCTGTAGTACAGTGATTATCAAATCATAGTAGGAGCTCAGCAAGAATTAGTATTCTTCTAGGTTTTAACCCTTTAAGTTTGTTGCCAAGGAGAATCTCCTCTTAAGGGCTTTGTCTCAGCTCACAGTGGAGGAAAAAGGAATGTATGATTAGGACCCAGGGCCCGTCTTCATTTAGGGTGGGAGAGGTAAGAAGAGACCTTGGACAAGTTATGGTATCCGAGGTGATATTGGAACCAAAAAGGGCCCAACCCAGAATAAATTTGGGAGTGTGGAGTAGGTAGTTGGGTTCCTTGGAAGTGCCCTGACTTATCTCTGTGTCCTTTTTGTCTTTGGAAGAACCTGCCTTACTGCTGAGTGATTGCTCCTCTTTCCAGTCATTTCACCCGGCTGTCCCTTCCCTGACTTCTGATCCTAGTCTCCCTGTCACAAGGAGCCTCTGTTCCCTCTCTTAGCAGCCTCTGCTCTAGCTGATCTCTATTCCAGGTGGTGTGAGAGGGAGAGTGTTTGCTGTGGCACAGGCACCCCTGAGTTTGGATTTCCCTCCAGCTCTCATTCATTTACCCATTCAACAAATATGTACTGAACACTTAACCAGGTGCCAGATATTCTAGGGATGGGACATACTGCTGTGGAAATGGCAAAAAGGTCTGTAGATTCATGGAGCTTATTTTCTTGTGAGTAAATAGATTTTGTGATCCGAAATCATGTAGGGGCAGTGAAGGCAATAAAGCAATGAAAGGGGATAGAGAGTGACTGAGAGGAGAGGTGCTCAGGGAAAACCTCCCTGAGGAGAGAACTGGATGATGAGATGAAGTGAGCCATTCAGAACTGTGGGGAAAGGGTCTTGAGGAGGGAATGGGCTTGGAGATTCTAGGACCAGCAAGAGTGCCCAGGGGATTGGAGTATGGGAGCCAGGATAAAGTACTGGGGATGAGGTCAGCAAGATCACCAGGGCCCACATCATGTAGAGCCCTGAGGCTGTGACAGCCATTTTGGATTTTATTCCAAGTCTCATGAGAAGCCAAGGGTAGGTTTTGAACAGGGGAATGATAGGATCTGATTTTGTTTCTTATAAGTTTACCTCCTGAGTAGAGAATAAATGATGGGGGGTGGGCAAGAAAGGGAGCAGAGAGAGCAGTTGAGGCTATTTCAGTAATCTAGGAGAGAAATAAGAGTTGCTTAGAGTAGGATGCTGGAGCTGGAGGTGGTGAGACAGGGCCGGAAGCATGATATATTTTGAAGGTAGAGAAAATGAGATCGCTGATGGCTTGCAGTTGGCACGTGAAGGAAAGTGAGGATAAAGAAGGACTTCCAGGTTTTTGTCTTGAGCAACTGGAAATACTGAGATGGGAAGACTGGGGGAGAAGCAGATTTGAAGGCTTTGGGGAGGAGAGGGGAATCAGAAATGAAATTTCAGATTCTTTTTAAATATCCCTAGTGGAGATGTTGAATAGGCAGTGGGTAAGTAGTCAGCAGCTTAGGGGAGAGAAGAGGACGGAAATTTGAATTTGGGAAAGATTTAAATTTGGGGAACCATTGATGGATATAAGTGGTATTTAAAGCCACAGGATTAGGCTGGGCACAGTGGCTCATGCCTATAATCCCAGCCCTTTGGGAGGCTGAGGCAGGTGGATCACTTGAGGCCAGGAGTTTGAGACCAGCCTGGCCAACATGGTGAAACCCTGTCTCTACCAAAAAATACAGAAAATTAGCCGTGTGTGGTGGTGCGTGCCTGTAGTCCCAGATACTCAGGAGGGTGAGGCAGGAGAATTGCTTGAATCCTGGAGGCGGAGGTTACGGTGAGCCAAGATCATACCACTGCACTCCAGCCTGGGTGACAGAGCAAGACTTCGTCAAAAAAAAAAAAAAAAAAGCCATGGAATTGGATGAGATGTAGGAGAGAAAGGAAATAGTTGGAGAAGAGGAGGTCAAGGACTGAGCCTTAGGACAAGCCAGCATTTAGTTGGGCAAAGGACAGTGAGAAGGAGGAAAACCAAGGGAGCGTCCCAGAAGTCAAATGAAGAAGGTGTTTGAAGAGGAAAGGAGGAATCAGCTGTGTCAACTGTTGCTGACAGGCCAAATGAGAGAACAGAGAGCTGCTCAGCAGGCTTGGCAATGTGAAGATCCGTGGTTTCAGTGGGGTGGAGAAAGCCAAACTGGAGTAGGCCCATGAGAGAAGGTGCAACAACTTCACATAACATTGTGTGAAAAGAGTCTGACCCAATAGCATCCATACTGCACAATTTCAGTTCTATCAAGTTTGAAAGCTGCAAAATTAAGCTGCATTGTTGAGAGATACACAGGTCATAAACTAAAGAGAAATGTAAGGAGTTGATTTCCTTAAAAGGATAAAGCTTGCATGTATAGAGGGAGAGGATTATGATCAAGAAGGATGAGTGGCGGCCGGTATGGTGGCTCATCCCTGTAATCCTAGCACTTTGGGAGGCTGAGGCAGGCGCATTACTTGAGGTCAGGAGTTTGAGACCAGCCTGGCCAACATGGCAAAACCCTATCTCTACTAAAAATACAAAAAGTTAGCCAGGTGTGGAGCCGCACGCCTGTGGTCTCAGCTACTCAGGAGGTTGAGGCACGAGAATCGCTTGAACCTGGGAGGATGAGGTTGTAGTGAGCCAACATCGCACCACTGCACTCCAGCCCGGGTGAGGGAGTGAGACTCTGTCTCAAAAACAAAAACAAAAAAAAACAAGGACAGATGGAACATGTTGTCACACATTGGGTGGTATGGGGTTCATCAGGCTGCACATGTATGTTCTGTGCATTTTTTTGTATGTTGTAGTTTACAGTTACAAAGAAGATAGCAGGAAGAAATGGTGAAAAAAGTAGGTAAGTCTTTTAAGGAGTTTTCCTGCAAAGCGGACAGAGAACTAGGTCTGGTGGTGGTCGTCAAAGGAGAACTTTTTTCTCCCTCCTTCCCTCCCTTCCTCCTAGATACTTGCATGTGTTGTAAAGAGTGAGCACAGTGGTACATCTTTTCTTAGCCACAGTCAGCTGCCCAGGAGCAGTGCTGAATGGGCAGAGCTGGATTTTACAGGGTTGGGATTTTGCCAGGTGAGTAAGATAGAGGGGAGAAGTGGGACCAGGGAGTTCCAGGTCTGTGAACGGCCCTGGCTGAGGAGCTGGATCATGAAATCTGAGTCAAGTAAGAAGGAAATTGAGGACACGAGTTGGGTATTGCATAGTGTTACTGTGTTAAGGTCAGGGGTCAAAGACTTACTGGCATGGAGTAACCAGAGTAAGTGAGCTGGAAAGATGAGTTGTCAGGGCAGAGAGGGGTGCTTGGAATTGAGGCTTTGGAGCTGTGAAGTGACAAGATGCAGGTATTACCATGGGAGTGGGCAGCTGAGGTGGGGTAAAGGAGATGCTCTGTGGAAGGGAGATGAAGGCACTGAAGTCAGCCAGAAACACAAAAACTGGTGGTGGTGAGTGAGCAGAGTGGCAGTGAGCCCCAAGGCTTCCAGTTTTCTCCTTGGACAAGTCATCGTAATTATTATTATTATTTTTTGAGATGGAGTTTCCCTCTTATTGCCCAGGCTGGAGTGCAATGGTGCAATCTCAGCTCACTGCAACCTCCGCCTCCTGGGTTCAAGTGGTTCTCCTGCCTCAGCCTCCCAAGTAGCTGCAATTACAGGCGCCCACCACCACGCCCAGCTAATTTTTGTATTTTTAGTAGAGATGGGGTTTCACCATGTTGGCCAGGCTGGTCTTGAAGTCCTGACCTCAGGTGATCCACCCGCCTTGGCCTCCCAAAGTAATCACGCTGGGATTACAAGCGTGAGCCACTGTGCCAGGCCAAGTCATAGTAATTATGAGATGTGGATCACTGGTACTGGGTACTTACTGTACTGCAGGCACTGACCCACACAAGTTGTATTGGTTATCTCATTTAATCCTGACCACCCTGAGGTAGGGAGGTGTCCACACTGTAAAATGAAGAAACAGAGGCTCAGAAAGTTAGTTGCCCTGACATCACAAAGCTGGTAAGTGGAAGGGCCAGGATTTAACCCTGGCAGCCCAGAGCGTGATTTGTATTCTGCAATACCATTTCCTTAATTTCTGAGCCTTAGTTCCCCTTTTACCTATAGGTATAGCACCAAGTCCCATCACAGAGTAGAAACCTGTTAAACGTTAATTTTCCTTGCCTTCCTCAGGTTTCCCTAATGTGGGAAAGTCCTCGCTGATCAATGGGCTGGTGGGGCGGAAAGTCGTGAGTGTCTCCAGAACCCCGGGCCATACCCGATACTTTCAGACCTACTTTCTTACCCCCTCTGTGAAGCTCTGTGACTGCCCAGGCCTCATCTTCCCATCTCTTCTGCCTAGGCAGTTGCAGGTATGACGGGGAGGGTGGGTAAGGGAAAGAGAGAAGGTGGGACATTGAGGAAAGTACTGAGTGCTCATTTCCCTCAGGTTCTGGCAGGGATCTACCCTATCGCCCAGATCCAGGAGCCCTACACTGCTGTGGGCTACCTGGCCTCCCGAATTCCCGTGCAGGCCCTGCTCCACCTGCGCCACCCAGAGGCTGAGGACCCCTCAGCGGAACACCCCTGGTGTGCCTGGGACATCTGTGAAGGTGAGTTCCATGTGCCTGGCTTCGCCCCACCTGGTTTCAGCTGCTCTTCCTTACCTGCCTCGCCTTTTACCCTTCCCTGTCTCCTTTCCTCTCCTCAGAGATTCTGCCATTGATGAAGCTGCTGTCCACTCACCCCTAGATTTTTGTTGCATAGCCAGTAAGATCTCTGGCCTGGAATGTTTTGGGGAAAACTGGAAGGACTGTGTTATGGGAGTGGGAGTATAACTGGTACCTGGTTAATGCTTTCCCTTTCCATTATTCTTTTCTTCCTCCAGCCTGGGCAGAGAAACGTGGTTACAAGACAGCCAAGGCGGCTCGGAATGATGTGTACAGAGCAGCCAACAGTCTCTTGCGGCTGGCAGTGGACGGCCGCCTCAGCCTGTGTTTTCATCCCCCAGGCTACAGTGAACAGAAAGGTCAGAGCCCAGATATTCTTCCCCAGCCCCCTGCTATAGCGTAGGTAAAAGGGTGTGGGCTTTGTGGCCAGAGAGAGGGTCAAACCTGGATTCTGTACCTGTTGGCTAGCTCTGTTACTTAACATCTGTGATATTTTCCTGATCTGCAAACTGAGGGTAATAATTGACCCTTAGCATAGTGATTGTAAAGATTGAAGTTGATGTGCACAAAGGTTCTGTTCAGCAATCTGCACATAGGAAGTTGAATGAATGGATGAATGAATGAATGCCAGCAGCTCTAAAGATTATTGTTATTCCTAGTCTTTGCCTCTTCCCCATCTTTCCTTGGCTTTAGTTCTTGCTCAAAACTCTCCTCCATTTTTTTCTTGTTTTGGTTCCCCAGGCACCTGGGAGTCCCATCCAGAGACCACGGAGCTGGTGGTTTTGCAGGGCAGGGTGGGGCCAGCAGGTGACGAGGAGGAGGAGGAAGAGGAAGAGCTGAGCAGCTCCTGTGAGGAGGAGGGAGAGGAGGACCGGGATGCGGATGAGGAGGGAGAAGGGGATGAGGAGACCCCAACCTCGGCTCCAGGGTCCAGCCTGGCTGGCCGAAACCCTTATGCCCTGCTGGGTGAGGATGAGTGCTGAGTTCCTCGCCCAGCGCCATCTTCCCTCCCAGTATCTTTGCTTTTGGACTGACCTGGGGGTATCTCCCCTCTGCCACCCCAATTGTGAATAAAGATTGTTTGCTTTGTAGCCCCTTCCCCAGATGAACTGAGGTGAGAGCGGCTGTTCCAGGCTAACAGCTGTGGGAGGCTTCTCTCCTCTTCTCCCTTCTTTTTTCATGCATTCTCTTTGCAAGGGAAAGTTCTCTTAGGAGTTTAGTAGGTTCTCAGTCTCTGAAACCTGCTTCCTCTACCCATTCTCCCACTCTGCACCTTAGGAATCCCGTTATCTACATGGGGAGGGGAGGTCTAAATCCAGCTCCCTTTTGGAGTTTGTGCCATTCTCCGATTTGAGCAGCAGCCCTGTGTGCCCCCTGCCGCCAGACCTGCTCATTCCAGGAGCTTCTGGGAGAAGGAACAGTAAGAGAGGAACTGTGTCCCAAGCTGATGTCTCTTAATGAGATTTTTACAGGAATTGTTCAAATTCAGCAAATATTTATTGAGGGTCTATTGTGTGTCTTGACCTGTGCTGAGCACCAAGCATATAAGGATGTACCACCAGAGCCTGACCTAAATTTGAAGCCTGGCCATGATCAAAACCCCACCTTCAGGCACCCAAGTTTTTGGATTAAGAAGGGTGAATGATGTTCTCCAAATCCTGGGGGCTCATGCAGTATAATTCTAGGACTTCATGTTGATACAAATTTTTAGTTAAGGCAAAACGCTTGTGAAAATGTTGATTAAATGTGTACGAGTAGTTTTAATTACTGGTGAACAACTAGCGTGCACATTTATGATTTGAGCAGAACAGCCCTTTAAGTACAGTGTTAAGTTTCATTGTTTAAAAGCTTGGCAGCTACGAGTATTTGAGGTACATAGGGGCGGGCACAGAACCAGCCTCCTGAATTCCATTTACTCTGGTTTGGGGGTGGAACAAAGATGATCCAGTGCAGGGTCTGAGCTAGAACCTAGCAGGTGGCCAGAACCATTTTAGGGTTTCACCTCAGCATTTCGGCAGAAATCAGCTCTCTCGTGAGTCAGGGCACCTTAGGCTTTGCTGTATATCCCTTTGTTAAGCCAGCAGCTAGACTCCTAGATTGAATTCTTTTAGAAATGGGAGAATGAGCTTTTTTATTGACTGCCAGTGTTGTCTGTATTGGATGATAGCAAAAAGTGTAGTTGGACAGGTTGCCCACTAGATGGAGTGAGAAGTACCAGACTCCTTTTTTCTCTAAAGCAGATCCTTTCAGGATCTGAGTCACTGGGCAGTTTCTCTAATGCGAGCAGACAGACCCTGTTAACCAAGGAGCAAAGGAAAGTATATTTAAAGAGGCTAAGGTGTTTGGCCACATATTGCTTTAGGTTCATCTCCATTGGTCTCAGTGTGGACATAACTCCTGGAATTCACTCCAGTGCAAAGTTTAAATAATACCAGCATGAGAATGTACTTGAAGGTTTCCCAAAATGTGCTAGACAAGAAAGAGAAAAGGTCCCAGCTGAGAGAAAAATCCACCTGTCTCCCATCTGGGGCTCTTTGGCCTCACTGATAGAAAAGGAAAAGGGGCCCAAGCTAAGCTTACTTTGAGGGTTCATGATGTTCAGAGATGCTCAGGGGACTTCTCCGCTGCAGGAGGTGGGGTGAGGACATTGGATTCATTTCCTCAAAATGTGGAGAGAAAGGAGAAAAATCAGAATTCTATTTGTACCTCTGCTTCCTGTGCTGTTTATCTTTGCTTGTCTTTATCTTTTTCCACCTCAGGGGTTTCATCAGGGGTATTTGGGAGAGTCTAGGGGTGGGGATGAAGAATTGACTGGGAGCTGAGGAGGGGGGATTTTTATGCTGAAGACCTGGCAGGAGGCAACTCCTGACACCCCCACAGGGTTAGACTGTAAAACCTCTTCCATGACTTGCTGACTCTATAGGATAATAGCAACAGGAAAAGAACTGAGGGACGTGCAGATGAGGATGAATAGGGCCCCAACACCAGTGCCTGAGGCTGAGGTTAGAACTGACTACAAAGACACAGGAAACCAAGGGCCCAGTCTCCCCTCCACGCTGAAATACGCACCCTCTTGTCTGGGTCATGTCTACTATGTGAATACTTGACCATGGAGGTCTGGGGCTCTGGTGGCTTCCATAGCTGGCTAGTCTCTTGATGGAGAGAAATCAGGGCTTCTCTCATCCATGCTGGAATTTCATTTAGATGTCAACTTCCAAGTTTCCCTTTTTCCAGATGGGATTATAGTCCTGCTTCTGGAACAGGGTAGCTGTGTGTGGTCCAGGATAGTTCAATTATCTGGCCCTTTGTTCACTTCTTACAATCATTGATACAGTCAACAAAAATTGGTTAAAAACAATATATGCCAGACATATATCCCTGAGTTCTGGGACAATAACCAAAATTGAATAAGGCAATATCCTACTCTCAAGCAATAGAGGGTAGGAATAGAATAATAATAATATAATACAATAGCTCTATAGCAGTATGTAAACTATAAAAGCATTATTTTACGTGTTTCTATTGAACTGTCATAACTAAATAAGATGGTTAGTACTATAATTATCCCAAGGATTCATTCACTCATAGAACATTTGTTGAGCAATTACTACCTGCCAGTCACTTCCAAGTGGTAAGTGAGATAGAAATGGTTCTTTGTGGCACTCACAATTTATTGGAGAATGGAAACACAATTACAAAAAAAAAGTGTGATAAGTTCTGGGAGAAGGGTGGTACAGGATCCTGTGGGGTAGTGGTGGCTCCATATAGGAGGGACATTGGGATACTGATCAGGAAGGAGTGGGGGACAGGGCTAGAAGCTGCATTAGTATAAAGTTATGTCAGACTGCCAAAACAAAACAAACACAAAAAATCAGTAGTCTGTGGTAAAGAATTGCTATAGGAACAGCCAGTAGGGGCAGTTAAGCTGGTCTTGGTGAATCAGGGGAAGCGTCCTAGAGGAACAGATGTCCATGCTGAGGCCAAATGCTGGACAGGAGTTAGCCAGACAGGGAAATTGCATTCTGGGCAGAGGAGACAGCAAAGGTCAAGAAACATGACAACTTTGGAAGACTGTAACTTGTTCAGAGGCAGAGGGTGCAAAGGAGAAATGAGGAAAGGTGAAGCTGGAGAGGTGGGCTTGGTCCAGCTCTTGCTGGGCCTTTTCAGCCGTGTTAAAGATTTAGACTGTATCCAGAGGGATGTTGAACTTTAAGCCTAAGACTGAAAAGGTGAGAATTGTGCCTTAGATCACTATGGTTGCAGTGTGGAGACTGGTTTGGAAAGGGGAGAAATCAGAGGCTTTTACAGCCATCCCAGGGAGAGAGAATGAACACCAGAATTAGGGTAATGGAAGATGGAAAGAAGAGAAATCGTTTTATGGGTTGCTCAGGAGATAGAATTGACATGTCTTGGGATTGTTTTGCTGTGTAGGGGAGAGAGACAAGTCAAGAGTATACATCCTGTTTCTGACTTGGCAACTGGGTGGGTCATGGGTCTGTTTCCTGAGACAGTTGTCTACAGCCATACCACCGTAAGCGCCCTAAATCTCATCAGAGACAGTTTATGCAAATGGAGCTTGGGGAAAGAGAGGTCGTGGCTGGAGACAGAGATTTGGGCATCATCAACATATAGGTGTGGGGAGCAGAGAAGGCTGAGGAAGAAAGCAGGAAACATATAAAAAGGAGAGCAGGGAAAGGAGCCAGTGAGACAGGAAAAACCTAGTAACGTGGTGTGATGAAGCTAGGGGAGGAAGGAAGGAAGGAAGGGCGGCGTGGAACGCTGCTGATGGGTGGTGGCGGGGAAAATGAACGAGTATCCACCAGCAACGAGAGGGGCCTCCATGGTCTTGGTGGGAGCATTTCTTTGGAGAGGTGGAATCAGAAGCCCCAGATGTCAGAGGGTTAAGGAATAATTTGGAGGAAAAGCGTAAAGGCAGTGGAGGTGAGGAGAGAATTTTCAAAATGTTTGGCAGTGATTGCAATGAAAGAAAAAAATGGAGGGAGCAGAGTATATGCAGTTGAGGAACTTTTTTAGTTTGGAGTGTGTTAACACGATGTTAGGAAGAAGGATCAAGTGAAGGAGAAAGGTGAAAATGCTGGAAGGTGGGGCTTAGTGATGAAACAAACCTTGGGGACAGGTGGGCGTGGTACTGAGAGTCCCAGTGAGGGGAGTGCCCTCAGGCAGGCGCCGGTGGCTTCTGTCACAGGAGGGAACAGCGCTGACATTCAGCTGGTTCGCACTGATACGGCTCAACCAGTTTGTTAAAACATGTCTGTTCCAGTGTCAGTAATATACGAGTAACTGCAATATGCAGTAAAAATTATAAATTCTAATACAAACTCAGTTCAAGCTAATTAAGAGATCGCAACAGCCGTTGGTAAATGGACTTCCCGCTGCATTTGAGAAGCTTTGCAGCGCCATCTGCCGGTGTCGTAGCATCACTGCAGGCTGAGAGGCTGCTTTGCGCCTTCATCTTGAAGCACTCTGAAATTGCCTGTTTAAATTACCTTGGAATCATGGAGTTGCTACTGCTTCTGAATAGTTTAGCTTCTACTTTGATTTTATTGTTAGTGCATTGTCGTTCTTGTGTCAGTAGCAAGTTTCAGTGTTTTAATATTTACAAATACAAAAATTTTTAATAAAATATTAAAGCCAAACTTGAATGAAGAGACAACAAAGTTTGGATATGTTTCTTTATGTGCCTTTTGACATATCATAAATGAGAATCTTTTGATTCCTCAGGAGAACAAAGAAGAAATATTAATGAGCTGCAGCCAGGAATGTTTTCTGTTACTGTGTAAAAATCAGAATAATATGGAAATCATTTGCAACTTTTTATTTTGAAAAATTTCTAACATAGAAAAAGAACAATAAACACCCAAATACTGAAAGATTCAACAAATTCTACATTTTGCCATATTTGCTTTACTAGTTTTTGCCAGCTTCTGTATTAATCGATTTTTCTGTCTACTTATCCATTTTTTTTGTTGTCATTACCTTTTATTTTTAAAAATTTTAACCTTTAATTGTAAATTGGCAAATTATAGTTGTATATATTTATGGCGTACAAAGTGATGTTATGATTCATGAATACACTGTGGGATGATTAAATCAAGCAAATTAACATCTATCACTTTTTTTTTTTTTGAGATGGAGTTTCACTCTTGTTGCCCAGGCTGGAGTGCAGTGGTGCAATCTCGGCTCACTGCAACTTCCGCCTCCCGGGTTCAAGTGATTCTTCTGCCTCAGCCTCCCGAGTAGCTGGCATTACAGGCGTCCGCCACCATGCCCGGCTAATTTTTTGTATTTTTAGTAGAGACGGGGTTTCACCATGTTGGCCAGGCTGGTCTCCAACTCCTGACCTCAGGTGATCCACCCACCTCCACCTCCCAAAGTGCTGGGATTACAGACGTGAGCCACTGCACCCGGCCCAACATCTATCACTTTTAAATACTTACTTTTTTTGTGGTGAGAATGTTTGAAATTTACTCTCTACATTCAGAGGAGGGAATATGTTAAAAATGTAAAAAAGATATTTACCCTCAACACTTATGAAATGTCCAAGAATTATTTACTATATTCACTTTGCTGTGCAGTATATCTCAAAGAAAAAGAAAAGCTTATTTTTCCAGTCCAATGAAGCTTTGTAACCTTTAACCATCATATCCCCATTTACCCCAGACCCCCAGCCTCTGGTAACTACTATTCTGCTCTCTCCTCCTTTAAGTTCGATTGTTTTAGATTCCACTTATAAGTGAGAACATACAGTATTTGTCTTTCTGTGCCTGGCTTACTTCACTCAGCATAATGTTCTCCAATTCCATTAACGCTGTCTCAAATGACAAAATTTCTTTTTAAAGGCTGAATAGCATTCCACGGTATATATACCATATTTTCTTTCTTTCTTTCTTTTTTTTTTTTTTTTTTGAGACGGAGTCTTGCTCTGTCACCCAGGTTGGAGTGCACTGGTGCAATCTCAGCTCACTGCAAACTCCGCCTCCCAGGTTGAAGTGATTCTCCTGCCTCAGCCTCCAGAGTAGCTGGGACTACAGGCGCCTGCCACCACGCCCAGCTAATTCTTTTGTACTTTTAGTAGAGATGGGGTTTCACCGTGTTAGCCAGGATGCTCTCGATATCCTGACCTCGTGATCCGCCTGCCTCGACCTCCCAAAGTGCTGGGATTACAGGCTTGAGCCACTGCGCCCGGCCTATATACCATATTTTCTTTATCCATTCATCTGCTGATGAACACTCGGTTTGACTATGTAACTTCACTGTGGTTAATAGTGCTGCAGCGAACATGAGAGTGCAGGTATCTCCTCGACATACTGATTTCAAATCTCTTTAGTAAATACCCAGACGCAAGATTGCTGGATCATATGGTAATTCTTTTTTTTTTTTTTGAGATGGAGTTTCACTCTTGTTGCCCAGGCTGGAGTGCGATGGCACGGTCTCAGCTCACTGCAACCTCCGCCTCCCGGGTTCAAGCGGTTCTCCTGCCTCAGCCTCTCAAGTAGCTGGGATTACAGGCGCCCACCACCACGCCCAACTAATTTTTGTATTTTTAGTAGAAATGGGGTTTCACCATATTGGCCAGGCTGGTCTCGAGCTCCCGACTTCAGGTGATCCGCTCACCTCGGCCTCCCAAAATGATGGGATTAGAGGTGTGAGCCACTGTGCCCAGCCCCATATGGTAATTCTATTTTTAGTTTTTTGAGGAACCGCCATACAGTTTTCCATAATAGCTGTACTAATTTACATTCCTACCAACAGTATACAAGTGTTGTCTTTTCTCAACCATTTGAACTTTTTTTTTTCTTTTTGAGATGGAGTTTTGCTCTGTCACCCAGGTTGGAGTGCAGTGGTGCAATCTTGGTTCACTGCAACCTCTGCCTCCCGGGTTCAAGTGATTCTCTTGCCTCAGCCTCCCCATTAGCTGGGACTACAGGTGTGCACCACCATGCCTGGCTAATTTTTGTATTTTTAGTGGAGACGAGATTACACCACGTTGGCCAAGGTGGCCTCAAACTCCTGACCTCAGGTGATCCGCCTCCTTCGGCCTCCCAAAGTGCTGGGATTGCACTGCACCCAGCCCTGAACCATTTGAAAGTTGGAGACATCGGCTGGGCATGGTGGCTCATACCTGTAATCCCAGTACTTTGGGAGGCCGAGGTAGGCGGATCACCTGAGGCCAGGAGTTGGAGACCAGCCTGGCCAACATGGTGAAACCCCGTCTCTACTAAAAATACAAAAAATTAGCCGGGCATGGTGGTACATGCCTATGATCCCAGCTACTCAGGACGCTGAGGTGGGAAAATTGCTCAAACCTGGGAGGTGGAGGTTGCAGTGAGCCAAGATAGTGCCACTGCACTCTAGCCTGGGTGACAGAGCAAAACTCCATCTCAAAAAAAAAGAAACTTGCAGACATCATGACCATTCACCCCTAAATACGTCATATACATCTCTTACACAATCATAATAGAATCATCATGTTTAATGAGTTAATAATTTTTAATGTCATCTAGCATTAAACTTCTCCAATTTGAATGCCTTTTATAGCATTTAATTTTTCCTAAGTATAATTACCAAATAAAAATTGTATAGATTTATGGTGTATAGCATGATGTTTTAATATATAGCTTTTAAAAAACTCCCAGAACAGGAACCAATCAAGTTTCAACATTGCATTTTTTTATGTCCTTTTCTCACCCCTTTCTTTTTAATCTACAATCATCCAGTTTTTTTCTTCTTGGAATTGGATCTTTGAGGATACTAGGGCAGTTGTCTTTTAGACTGTTCAACATTCTAGATTTGTCTTACTGTTTCTTTGATGTCACTTAATGTGTTCATCTGTCTCCCTGAGTTTTGAGGGGTTTTCCCCCAATTACTTGGTTAGATTCAGGTTACCCAGTCTTGGGACTAATTCCTCAAACTTGCTATATATGTCACATTGCCTCACATCAGAAGGCATATGATATGAAGCCATCCCACAAGCAGTGATGCTAAGTATGATTGCTTGGTTAGGATGGACACGGTCAGATCTTTTCTGTAAAGGTTATGTTTCCCTCTTGGCAATTAGCAAGTCGTCTGCATGGTTCTTTGACACTGTGTGTATACGCTGAAAAACTTTCTCTTATCGCCATCTACAGTGATTCTTGCTTGAATTGGTTATTTCATCAGAAATTACAAAAGGTGCTTTTCTAATTCTCCCACTTCTACATTTATAAGGGCATAATTACCTAGGAAGGAGCTTTCTCTCACCAACTGGAAAAAGTAGGGTCCTTCTCAAACTCCTGACCTCAAGTGATCCACCTGCCTCAGCCTCCCAAAGTGCTGGGATTACAGACATGAGCCACAGCGCCCGGCCAAAGTAGGGTCCTTCTAAAAGGCAAGGTAAATGCTTATTTCCCTTTACCAGTTTTCAGAATAAGGTATTGGTATGATATTAATCTCCAAAGGTAGAAAATTTATTTTTTTTCTTTTTTTAAACTATAGATTTAGGGTTTTTATCCATTCAGTATTTCTTTTATTTTTTGAGACAGCATCACGGTCTGTTGCCCAGGCTGGAGTGCAGTGGCGCAATTACCACTCACTGCAGCCTCAACCTGCCAGGCTCAAGTGATCCTCCTACCTCAGCCTCCTGAGTAGCTGGGACCACAGGTGCATGCCACCACACCCAGATGATTTTTGTATTTTTTGTAGAGATGGGGTTTTGCCATGTTGCCTGAGATCAAGTGATCCACCTGCCTTGGCCTCAAAGTGCTGGGACTACACCATGCCAGGTATCCATTTAATATTTCACAATTGGTTACAGTCATTATTTTTTTGTGCTCGAACTGTACCTTATGTGTCCAGTGGGAGCCTTTTTTTTTTTTTTTAATTTGAGATGGAGTCTCACTCTGTCACCAGGCTGGAGTGCAGTGGTACGATCTCGGCTCACTGCAACCTCTGCCTCCTGGGTTCAAGCAATTCTCCTGCCTCAGCCTCCTGAGTAGCTGGGACTACAGGTGCATGCCACCATGGCCAGCTAATTTTTGTATTTTTAGTACAGACGGGGTTTCACCTTATTGGCCAGAATGATCTAGATTGGGAGAGGGCCCCAGTGGGAGCCCTTTTAAGCTAACTCCTACATCCATTCTGACATACCCCAAAAGTTCTGTGAGCACTTGCTTGCTTTTGACACAACTAGATGTCCCAGGCACAATTTTTTTTTACTTTCCCAGCTCCAGATGTGGAATCAGCCATTTTTCTTTTTCTTTTTTCTTTCTTTCTTTCCTTTTTTTTTCTTGAGACAGAGTCTCACTCTGTCACCCAGGCTGAAGTGTAGTGGCATGATCTCAGCTCACTGCAACCTCTGCCTCCAGAGTTCAAGTGATCCTCCCACCTCAGCCTCCTGAGTAACTGGGATTATAGGCATTGCCACTACGCCTGGCTAATTTTTGTACTTTTAGTAGAGATGGGGTTTCATTATGTTGGCCAGGCTGGTCTCAAACTCTTGGCCTCAAGTGATCTGCATCTGCCTGCCTTTAGCCTCCCAAATTGCTGGGATTACAGGCATGAGCCACTGCACTTGGCCAAAATCAGCCATCTTTTTTTTTTTTTTTTTTTTTTTTTGAGGCCGAGTCTTGCTCTGTCGCCCAGGCTGGAATGCAGTGGCGTGATCTCAGCGCACTGCAAGCTCTGTCCCCAGGTTCATGCCATTCTCCTGCCTCAGCCTCCCAAGTAGCTGGGACTACAGGTGCCCACCACCATGCCTGTCTACTTTTTTGTATTTTTAGTAGAGACAGGGTCTCACTGTGTTCGCCAGGATGGTCTCGATCTCCTGACCTTGTGATCTGCCCGCCTCGGCCTCCCAAAGTGCTGGGATTACAGGCGTGAGCCACTGCACCCGGCCAAAATCAGCCATCTTTCTAAGGAACATTGATTCGTTTTAGTGAGGAATGGTCTTTAGTGCTGGGAGAGCTCGTTGCTACAGAGGTGTCATCGCTTTAAGTCACATTTAGGGTTTAAAAAAAATCATGAATTCATATTGGTATTTCCAATTCAAATTGTACATTATAGGTTTTTCCCTCTTCTTGGACTTTGTATTTGTATATCTTTTATCAGGGCAATCGAAAGCCTTGGCTCTTAATACTCTTAATATATTTACCTATTTTTCTCTCCTACAATATACATAAAATCATCTTAAAATTGCATTGGGCCAGGCACAGTGGCTCATGCCTGTAATCCCAGCATTTTGGGAGGCTGAGGCGGGCGTTATCACTTGAGGTCAGTAGTTCGAGACCAGCCTGGCCAACATGGCAAAACCCCGTCCCTACTCAAAATACAAAAATTAGCTGGGTGTGGTGGTGGGCATCTGTAATCCCAGCTACTAGGGAGGCTGAGGCAGGAGAATAGCTTGAACTTGGGAAGTGGAGGTTGCAGTGAGCCAAGATTATGCCACTGCACTCCACTCGGGGTGACAGAGCGAGACTCCATCTCAAACAAACAAAAGAAATCGGCTGGGCATGATGCATTCATCTGTAGTCCCAGCTACTCAGGAGGCTGAGGTGGGTGGATCACTTGAGCCCGAGAGATTGAGGCTGCTGTGAGCTATGATCGTGCCACTGCACTCTAGCCTGGGCAACAGAGCAAGATCTTGTCAAAAAAAAAAAAAAAATTGGGAAACAAAATCTTTTAGGGCTTCTGAAGTCACCCCATGAGTAACTGAGTGTGATGAGTGTAGGACTCCTGGTCCCAGCACCTGGTCTTATTTCTGTTTCTCAAACATGTCCTTTCCACCCCAAGACTTTTATCCCTTTTTGTTCCCTGGTCTGGAATACTCTGTCCCACCTACCCGCCACCTGTAGTCTTGCCACATCCAGTCTCTGCTGACATATTCCTCAGAGGGGAATATGTGCCTGATTCCCCTCCTTTCAACCTAGGCAAGGTGAGTTTCTCCTGCATGAGTTCCTCTATGGCCAATGAGCCTCACACAATTGAGTGTCTACCATCCACCCGCCAGCAAGGCCCCAAGACAGCACGTTTTCTTCCCTGTTGATCACTCTATTCTCAGTACCTATAACAGCACTGTATTAGTTAGGGTGTTCCAGAGAGTTAGAACCAATCAGATGAAAGAACTGTTTCATGCTATCATAGGGGTTGGCAAATCCAAAATCTGCAGAGCAGGCAGGCCAGCAGCAAAGAGTTGATGTTACAGCTCAGGTCCAAAGGCGGTGTGGAGGCAGAATTCCCTCTTCCTCAGGGACCTCAGTCTTTTTGTCTTAGGCCTTTGAATGATTGGATGAGGCCCACTCACATTGTGGAGGGCAGTCTGCTTTATTCAAAATGCACCAATTTGAAACATCCAAAATACCCTCACAAAACCATCCACAATGTTTGACCAAATATCTGAATACCATGGCTTAGCCAAGTTGACAAATAAAATTAACCATCACAAGTACCTAGCACAAATGCATAATTTTATGTCTATATGTATATATATTTTCTTATACATACATATGCATGCATACACATATTTATGATTATAAAAAGTATATATATATCTATATATATAGAGAGAGAAATAAAGGAATGATCCATGTACCTTACAAATACACTAGAAACATAAATTCATAGATAGCAGCAGATCTCATTACGATGTTTAATTTTATGTGTCAACTTGTCTGGGCCATGGTGTCCAGATATTTAGTCAAACATTATTCTGGATGTTTCTGTGAAGGTGTTTTTGGATGAGATTTACATTTAAATTGGTGAACTTTAAATGTAATGAGGGTGGGCTTCATCCAATCAGTTGAAGACCTGGTTAGAACAAAAGGCTGTCCTCTCTCTTTTGTTCTGGTCAGAAGTTTCCAGCACACCACCTTTGGACTTGAACTGCAACTCTTTCCTGTGTCTCCAGCCTGCTGGGCTCTCCTATCAGACTTTGGACTCACCAAGCCTCCACAATTTTGTGAACTAATTCCTTAAAATAAGTCACACTCTCTCTTTCTCTCTCTGCAAGTATGTATGTATGTACGTATGTATGTATATTCTATTTCTCTGGAGAACCCTGACTAACTCAGAAAGCAAAAATGCCCTCTATGGCAGGGTGCAGTGGCTCATGCCCGTAATCGTAGCACTTTGGGAGGCCGAGGCGGGCAGATCACCTGAGGTCAGGAGTTCAAGACCAGCCTGGCCAACATAGTGAAACTCCGTCTCTACTGAAAAAAACACACACACACAAAAATTAGCCGGGCATGGTGGCAGGTGCCTATAATCCCAGCTACTTAGGAGGCTGAGGCAGGAGAATCGCTTGAACCTGGGGGGCGGAGGTTGCAGGGAGCCAAAAACGTGCCACTTCACTCCAGCCTGGGTGAGAGAGCGAAACTCTGTCTCAAAAAGAAAACCAAAACCAAAAATGCCGCCAATCACGTCTATGAGATAACCATTGTTTACTGTTTGTTCCGTGTTCCTGTATTCTCTCCCCCAACTTTTTCCTGTTTATATATCAGCAAAGATGGATGGAGGGGAAGATTGAAAAAAATGTTTCTTCCAGTTTATATTGTTCTGCAACTTTTATTATTTATTTATGATGTGCTCATTTTCCCATGTCAATACATATAGATCTTTACAAAATGATACTGTGATATTTCATTGTATATACACAGCCTACTTTAACTATTCTGGTACTCCCCCCACGGCCCCCCCCCATTATTCACTAGTAGACATAATGCCTCAAAAAAACATTCTTGGGTGGGTGCCGTGGCTCACATCTCTAATCCCAGCACTTTGGGAGGCTGAGGCGGGCAGATTGCTTGAACCCAGATATTGGAAACCAGCCTGGGCAACATGGTGAAACCCTATCTCTACAAAAAATACAAAAATTAGGCTGGGCGCGGTGGCTCACACCTGTAATCCCAGCACTTTGGGAGGCTGAGGCAGGTGGATCACGAGGTCAGGAGTTCGAGACCAGCCTGGCCAACATGGTGAAACCCTGTCTCTTCTAAAAGTATGAAAATTAGCTGGGTGTGGTGGCATGCGCCTGTAGTCCCAGCTACTCAGGAGGCTGAGGCAGGAGAACTGCTTGAATCCAGGAGGCGGAGGTTGCCATGAGCTGAGATCGTGCCATTGCACTCCAGCCTGGGTGACAGAGCGAGACTCCATCTCAAAAAAAAAAAAAAAAAATTAGCTGGGTGTGGTGGTGTATGCCTATAGTCCTAGCTATTCGGGAAGCTGAGCGGGGAGGATTGCTTGAGCCTGGGAAGTTGAGGCTTCAATGAGCTGTGATTATGCTACTGTACCATGCCTGGGTGACAGCAAGACCCTGTCTCAGAAAACAAAACAAAACAAAACAAAACAAAAAACAAAAAAACCCCAAAAATTCTTGTACTTACTTTTTTGCACACTAGAGGGAGTGTTTCTATAAATTCCTAGTTGCCATGAATGGAATGTTTGTAGTCCCCTCAAACTGTATGTTGAAGCTCTCTAATTCCCAATGTGATAGTCTTTGGAGGTGGGGCCTGGGCTATAATGAGGTTTGGATAAAGTCATGGGGGCATAATGGGATTGGTGCCCTTATAAAGAGATGAAGAGAGGCTATTGCTCTCCCTGCCACAGCAAGGCGGTGGGATGGGCCGGGTGTGGTGGCTCACGTCTGTAATCCCAGCATCTGGGAGGCCGAGGTGGGAGGACTGCTTCAGCCCAGGAGTTCAAGACCAGCCTGGGCAACATAATGAGACCTCGTCTCTACAAAATTACAAAAATTTAGCTGGGCCTGGTGGCATGCACCTGTAGTCCCAGCTACTCGGGCGGCTGAGGTGGGAAGATCAGTTGAGCCCAGGAGGTTGAGGCTGCAGTGAGCCAAGCTTACACCATTGCACTCCAGCCACCTGGGTGACAGAGAAAACCCTCATCTGTTAAAAAAAAAAAAAAAAAAGAAAGAAAGAAGAAAGAAGGAAGAAAGACAGAGAGAAAGAAAGAAAGAGAAAGAGAAAAAGAAAGAAAGAAAAAGAAGGAAAAGAAAGAAAATGAAGGTGGGACATCTGTGAACTGGGAACAGAAAAAGGACCTTCACCAAGCACCTTAACTGCCAGTGCCTTGATACCTGAACTTCCCAGCCCCAAGAACTGTGAAAAATAAACCTCTGTTGTCTATAAGCCATCCAGGCTGTGGTGTTGTTATAGCAGCCCAAACTAACTAAGGCACTAATTTAAGTGGAAATGCTAAATCAAAGGTTATGAAAATGTTTAATATTAATAGGTACTAAATTACTTCCCCCAAAGGTGATAAGTTTACACTCTTATCAACAAGAGGTTAAAACATTGTTTTAAGCTGGGTGCAGTGGCTCATGCCTGTAATCCCAGCATTTTGGGAGGCCAAGGTTGATGGATCACTTGAGATCAGGAGTTCGAGACCAGCCTGGCCAACATGGTGGAACCTCGTCTCTACTAAAAATACAAAAATTAGCCGGGCATGGTGGCGGGCGCCTGTAATCCCAGCTACTCAGGAGGCTGAGGCAGGAGAATCGCTTGAACCCAGGAGGCAGAGGTTTCGGTGGGCTGAGATCGCGCCACTGCACTCCACCCTGGGCGACAGAGTGAGACTCTGTCTAAAAAAAAAAAAAGTTTTAATTTACTTTTACTATATGACTGGAGGGGTTGAAAATAATTTCATATTTATTGTTCAATTGAATTTATTCTTCTGTAAATTACTTATATCACTTATATGCTTTTAACAATATATCTTTTAAAATTAATTTGCAGTTGGTATATGATGGATATTACAATTCTACTGTATATGCTGATACTGTTGTAACCACCCAATTGGTTCATTTTGCCTGCTGCTCAGATAGAGCCAATTTATGAAGACAGGGGAATTGCAATAGAGAAAGAGTTTTATATACATAGAGCCAGTTAAACAGGAGACTGAAGTCTTATTATTACTTATATCAGCCTCCTCTCAAATTTGAAGGCTTTTTCAAGATAGTTTGGGTTGGGCATGGCAGCTTACACCTGTAATCCCAGCACTTTTCGAGTCTGAGGTAGGAGGATTGCTTGAGTCCTTGAGTTTGAGATCAGCCTGGACAACACAGCAAGACACCATCTCTACAAAAAATTTAAAAATTAGCCAGGTGTGGTGGTGTACACCTGTAGTCCCAGTGACTTGGGAGGCTGGGCCAGGGAGGTTGAAGCTGCTGTGAGCCATGATTGCACCACTGCACTACAGCCTGGGCGACAGAGTCTCAAGAAAAAAAGAAAAAAAAAGATAGTTTGCTGGGCAGGTGGCTAGGGAATGGGTGCTGCTGATTGATTGGGATGCAATCATAGGGATGTGGAAAATGGTCCTCGTGCACTGAGTCCACTTCTGAGTGGGGCCATAGGACCGGTCTTGGATCTGGGTGGAGTCATCTGGTTTTCCAAAATGGAAAAGCCTGAGCTGGGCAAGGTGGCTCGTGCCTGTAACCCCAGCAGTTTGGGAGGCTGAGGCAGGAGGATCGCTTGAGTCCAGGAGTTTGAGACCAGCCTGAACAACAGAGCCAGACATCATGTCTACTAAAAATACAAAAACAAAACAAACAAACAAGCAAAAAACACCCCAGAACCAAAAAACAACAAAACTGGCCAGGCATGGTGGCATGCACCTGCAGTCCCAGCTACTTGGAAGGCTGAGGTGGAAGGTTCACTTGAGCCCAGGAGATAGAGACTGCAGTGAGCTATGATCACTGCACTCCAGCCTTGGTGACAGAGCAAGACCTTGTCTCAAAGCAAACAAAACAAAAAATAACTGCAAAGACATCTCAAAAGGCCACAGTGATATCATTTTACAGGACTAATTGGGGAAGTTACAAATCTTGTGACCTCTGAAACAATGGCGGGTAATTGTTTATCTAAGCCTGCATTCAGGCCCCTCTCATCCTCCCTAACCTGGTGGCCTTTCATCATTTTTACAAAGACAGGTTAGTTTTGGGAAGGGCTATTATCATTTAAACTGTAAACGAAATTTCTCCCAAAGTTAGCTTGGCCTTTGCTCAGGAATGACTAAGTGCAATTTGGAGGTTAAAGGCAAGAAGGAGTTGGGTTAGATTGGATATCTTTCAATGTCATAATTTTCTCACTGTTACAATTTTTGCAAGGGTGGTTTCGGTGTTTTCATTTTTTTTTCCTTTGTTAAAGCTATATTGACACCTTCCTTCCATCTCCTCCTTGCATTCCCACAGCACATCCTCCAACAGAAGCCACAGACAACAGAAGAGAGCAGCTTCCCTGTGTGTCCCATACCCACCTCTCCACTTCTGCCACTGGGCATGGACTCCTTTTGATGAACAAGTTCCTCTCACCACGAGCTCACTCTCTTCACACCTAGCTCTAGACCCATGGAAAAAGTCCTGCTGAGTCAAGTCAAGAAGTTCTTCTTTTTTTTTCTTTTTTTGAGACGGAGTTTCACTCTTGTTGCCCAGGGTGGAGTGCACTGGCGCAATCTCGGCTCACTGCAACCTCCGCGGCCCGAGTTCAGGTGATTCTCCTGCCTCAAGCTCCTGAGTAGCTGGGATTACAGGTGCCTGCCACCACGCCTGGCTAATTTTTTGTATTTTTAGTAGAGACGTTGTTTCACCATGTTGGCCAGGCTGGTCTCAAACTCCTGACCTCAGGTGATCCAACCGCCTCGGTCTCCGAAGTGCTTGGATTACGGGCGTGAGCCACCGCGCCGGGCCAAGTTCTTCCTGAGGACCCAAACCCTAGACACTCAAACCAGTGGTCTCTCTGTCTCTTCTGCACCCACTCCCACCATCGTGCCCTGGACCTCAACAGGGGTTATGCTGGGTGAGAGGCTGCTAGATGTTTAGAGACACTGAAATCCAGGGCATGACTGTGGCCAGGAAGAAAACAAGGGCAAGAGAAAGATGCTAGAGATAAACTTCCTTTTTCTTTATTCTTCCTAAGGATGAGTCCAGCAGCCAGGTCCTGGGTGAATTTGTCCATTTAGGCACATAAAAAATGGACCAACATGGAAATGTTCACACACTCCCTTATTAGATCAGTTAGGTTCACACAGAAAAAAACAAAAAAAGTTTCCTAAAAATTGTCACCACTATGATGATGCACTTGTTCTGTGTTTTTGTTTTCTTGTTTTATTTTGATTCTTTTCTTTTTTTTTTAAGAGACAGGATCTCACTATGTTGCCCAGACTGGTCCCACACTTCTGGGCTGAAGTGATCCTGCCTGTTTCCCAAAGTTCTGAGATTACAGGTGTGAGCCACCAACCATGCCTGGCTTTTTTTTTTTTTTTTTTTTTTTTTTTTTTTTTGAGACGGAGTCTTGCTCTGTCGCCCAGGCTGGAGTGCAGTGGCACAATCTAGGCTCACTGCAAGCTCCGCCTCCTGGGTTCACGCCATTCTCCTGCCTTAGCCTCCTGAGTAGCTGGGACTACAGGCGTCCACCACCACGCCAGGCTAGTTTTTCATATTTTTAGTAGAGACGGGGTTTCACTGTGTTAGCCAGGATGGTCTCGATCTCCTGACCTCGTGATCCGTCCGCCTCGGCCTCCCAAAGTGCTGGGATTACAGGCGTGAGCCACCGCGCCCGGCCATCTTAATTCTTTTATGGACAGTGTGAAGTAGACATTTTAACTCCATGGTAGAGGTGAGAAAACTGAGGCTTAGTAGCAATGCTTTAATTGGAAACATTTACTCACAAATAGATAAGACTCTAAAAAGAAAAAAAAAGTGATTCATGCGATTAGTCCCCACTTCTCAGGGAAAACCCTACAAAACACCCGAGCTGCTGGCTACAAATGTCATGGGTTTATTTAATTTTCCACGTGGTTGTTTCTCCCTGGCCAGTGAACATTTCATTTAGCAGGGAGGCTGGATCTGGCCTGCCATCTGGCTTTCGTGGTGCACTTTAGACTCTGGAGTTTGACAACAGCTGTTGCACAACCATGCCAGGAGGCCACCAGTCTTGGGACAATGGTTTCTCATTAGTTTGCATAAGGTAGAACAGAAATATAGTAGCTGAGGGAAAACAAAAACTTTAAATAATTTAGGGATGGGATTTTCCTGGATGAGTCACATTTTAATGAGTATATCAATGATTCATTATGTATGAACGTTATGATGTGTGCAGAAGTTATTTCTTTTTTTTTTTCTTTTTTTTTTTTTTTTTGAGACGGGGTTTCGCTCTGTTGCCCAGGCTGTAGTGCAGTGGCGTGATCTCGGCTCACTGCAAGGTTCACACCATTCTCCTGCCTCAGCCTTCCAAGTAGCTGGGACTACAGGTGCCTGCCACCGCACCTGGCTAATTTTTTTTGTATTTTTAATAGAGACGGGGCTTCACCGTGTTAGCCAGGATGGTCTCCATCTCCTGATCTCGTGATCCGCCCGCCTCAGACTCCCAAAGTGCTGGTATTACAGGCGTGAGCCACCGCGCCTGGTCTATGCACAAGTTATTTTTATCAGCTCTAACTGTCCTTAAGACCAAGTATCAACATGAACTCAACATAGAACCAGACCATCAAATGTCTGCATTACAAATTGTTAAAGCATCATTTTCAAAAATAATTAAGCATAATTAGTCATATTGCTCTCACTTGAAAGTATATAATTAATAATGTTATAAGGGCAAAATATTCTTTTTTCTTTTTCTTTTCTTTTCTTTTTTTTTCTTTTTTGAGACACAGTCTCACTCTGTCGCCTAGGCTGGAGTGCAGTGGTGCGATCTCGGCTCACTGCAACCTCCGCCTCCCGGGTTCAAGCGATTCTTGTGCCTTAGTCTCCCGAGTAGCTGGGATTACAGGCACCCGCCACTACGCCCAGCTAATTTTTTGTATTTTTAGTAGAGACAGGGTTTCACCATGTTGGCCAGGCTGGTCTTGAACTCCTGACCTCGTGATCTGCCCGCCTCGGCCTGCCAAAGTGCTAGGATTACAGGCGTCAGCCACCGCGCCCAGCCCTATTATTTGTATTTTGAATAAAAATTGTTATTTAAATTATTTTTCTTTATCATATCTTCTAAAATTTCTAATTAAAACACTTTATAATGTGCATAATGTATTGCTACAAAGCAACATACAGTTTAAAAAGTAGGGAAGATTTTTTTTATTTTTTATTTTATTATACTTTAAGATCTGGGGTACATGTGCACAACATGCATGTTTGTTACATAGGTATACCTGTGCCATGGTGGTTTGCTGCACCCATCAACTCGTGATTTACATTAGGTAGTTCTCCTAATGCTATCCCTTCCCTAACCCCCAACCCCCCCACAGGCCTCGGTGTGTGATGTTCCCTGCCCTGTGTCTGTGTATTCTCATTGTTCAACTCCCACTTATGAGTGAGAACATGTAGTGTTTGGTTTTCTGTCCTTGTGATAGTTTGCTGAGAATGATGGTTTCCAGCTTCATCCATGTCCCTGCAAAGGACATGAACTCATCCTTTTTTATGGCTGCATAGTATTCCACGGTGTATATGTGCCACATTTTCTTAATCCAGTCTATCATTGATGGACATCTGGGTTGGTTCCAAGTCTTTGCTACTGTGACTAGTGCCGCAATAAACATACATGTGCATGTGTCCTTATCATGATTTATAATCCTTTGGGTATATACCCAGTAATGGGATGGCTGGGTCAAATGGTATTTCTAGTTCTAGATCCTTGAGGAATCGCTGCATTGTCTTCCACAATGGTTGAACTGATTTACACTCCCACCAACAGTGTAAAAGTGTTCTTATTTCTCCACATCCTCTCCAGCATCTGTTGTTTCCTGACTTTTTAATGATCACCATTCTAACTGGCGTGAGATGGCATCTCATTGTGGTTTTGATTTGCATTTCTCTGGTGACCAGTGATGATGAGCATTTTTTCATATGTCTTTTGGCTGCATAAATGTCTTCTTTTGAGAAGTGTCTGTTCATATCCTTCGCCCACTTGTTGATGGGGTTGTTTGATTTTTTTGTTGTAAATTTGTTTAAGTTCTTTGTAGCTTCTGGATATTAGCCCTTTGCCAGATGGGTAGATTGCAAAATTTTTCCCCATTCTGTAGGTTGCCTGTTCACTGTGATGATAGTTTCTTTTGCTGTGCAGAAGCTCTTTAGTTTAATTAGATCCCATTTGTCTATTTTGGCTTTTGTTGCCATTGCTTTTGGTGTTTTAGTCATGAAGCATTTATCCATGCCTATGTCCTGAATGGTATTGCCTAGGTTTTCTTCTAGGGTTTTTATGGTTTTAGGTCTTATGTTTAAGTCTTTAATACATCTTGAGTTAATTTTTGTATAAAGTGTAAGGAAGGGATCCTGTTTCAGCTTTCTACATATGGCTAGCCAGTTTTCCCAGCACCATTTATTAAACAGGAAATCCTTTCCCCATGCTTGTTTTTATCAGGTTTGTCAAAGATCAGATGGTTGTAGATGTGTGGTGTTATTTCTGCGGCCTCTGTTCTGTTCCATTTGTCTATATATCTGTTTTGGTACCACTACCATGCTGTTTTGGTTACTGTAGTCTTGTACTATAGTTTGAAGTCAGGTAGCGTGCTGCCTCCAGCTTTGTTCTTTTTGCTTAGGATTGTCTTGGCAATGTGGGCTCTTTTTTTGTTCCATATGAACTTTAAAGTAGTTTTTTCCAATTCTGTGAAGAAAGTCATTGGTAGCTTGATGGGGATGGCATTGAATCTATAAATTACCTTGGGCAGTATGGCCATTTTCACGATATTGATTCTTCCTATCCATGAGCATAGAATGTTCTTCCGTTTGTTTGTCCTCTTTTATTTTGTTGAGCAGTGGTTTGTAGTTCTCCTTGAAGAGGTCCTTCACATCCCTTGTAAGTTGGATTCCTAGGTATTTTATTTTCTTTGTAGTAATTGTGAATGGGAGTCCATTCATGATTTGGCTCTCTGTTTGTCTGTTATTGGTATATAGGAATACTTGTGATTTTTGTGCAATGATTTTGTGTCCTGAGACTTTGCTGAAGTTGCTTATCAGCTTAAGGAGATTTTGGGCTGAGATGATGGTGTTTTCTAAATATACAGTCATGTCATCTGCAAACAGAGACAATTTGACTTCCTCTTTTCCTAATTGAATACCCTTTATTTCTTTCTCTTGCTTGATTGCCCTGGCCAGAACTTCCACCACTATGTTGACTAGGAGTGGTGAGAGAGGGCAACCTTGTCTTGTGCCAATTTTCAAAGGGAATGCTTCCAGTTTTTGCCCATTCAGTATGATATTGACTGTGGGTTTGTCATAAATAGCTCTTATTATTTTGAAATACGTCATCAATACATAGTTTATTGAGAGTTTTTAGCATGAAGGGTTGTTGAATTTTTGTCGAAGGCCTTTTCTACATCTATTGAGATAATCATGTGGTTTTTGTCGTTGGTTCTGTTTATGTGATGGATTACATTTATTGATTTGCATATGTTGAACCAGCCTTGAATCCCAGGGATGAAGCCGGCTTGATCATGGTGGATAAGCTTTTTGATGTGCTGCTGGATTTCGTTTGCCAGTATTTTATTGAGGATTTTTGCATTGATGTTCATCAGGGATATTGGCTTAAATTTTCTTTTTTTGTTGTGTCTCTGCCAGGCTTTGGTATCAGGATGATGCTGTTCTCATGAAATGAGTTAGGGAGGATTCTCTCTTTTTCTATTGATTGGAATAGTTTCCGAAGGAATGGTACCAACTCCTCTTTGTACCTCCAGTAGAATTTGGCTGTGAATCCGTCTGGTCCTGGACTTTTTTTGGTTGGTAGGCTATTAATTATTGCCTCAATTTCAGAGCCTGTTATTGGTCTATTCAGGGATTCAACTTCTTCCTGGTTTAGTCTTGGGAGGGTGTATGTGTCCAGGAATTTATTCATTTCTTCTAGATTTTCTAGTTTATTCGTGTAGAGGTGTTTATAGTATTCCTGATGGTAGTTTGTATTTCTGAGGGATTGGTGGTGATGTCCCCTTTATCATTTTTTATTGTGTCTATTTGATTCTTCTCTCTTTTCTTCTTTATTAGTCTTGCTAGCAGTCTATCAATTTTGTTGATCTTTTCAAAAAACCAGCTCCTAGATTCACTGATTTTTTGGAAGGGTTTTTTGTGTCTCTATCTCCATCAGTTCTGCTCTGATCTTAGTAATTTCTTGCCTTCTGCTAGCTTTTGAATGTGTTTGCTCTTGCTTCTCTAGTTCTTTTAATTGTGATGTTAGGGTGTTGATTTTAGATCTTTCCTGCTTTCTCTTGTGGGCATTTAGTGCTCTAAATTTCCCTCTACACACTGCTTTAAATGTGTCCCAGAGATTCTGGTATGTTGTGTCTTTGTTCTCATTGGTTTCAAACAACATCTTTATTTCTGCCTTCATTTCATTATTTACCCAGTAGTCATTCAGGAGCAGGTAGTTCAATTTCCATGTAGTTGTGCAGTTTTGAGTGAATCTTAATCCTGAGTTCTAATTTGATTGCACTGTGGTCTGACAGACAGTTTGTTGTGATTTCTGTTCTTTTATATTTGCTGAGGAGTGTTTTACTTCCAATTATGTGGTCAATTTTAGAATAAGCGCGATGTGGTGCTGAGAAGAATGTATATTCTGTTGATTTGGGGTGGAGAGTTCTGTAGATGTCTATTCGGTCCCCTTGGTCCAGAGCTGAGTTCAAGTCCTGGATATGCTTGTTAACCTTCTGTCTCATTGATCTGTCTAATATTGACAGTGGGGTATTAAAGTCTCCCATTATTACTGTGTGGGAGTCTAAATCTCTTTGTAGGTCTCTAAGGACTTGCTTTATGAATCTGGGTGCTCCTGTTTGGGGTGCATATGTATTTAGGATAGTTAGTTCTTCTTATTGAATTGATCCCTTTACCATTATGTAATGCCCTTCTTTCTCTCTTTTGATCTTTGTTGGTTTGAAATCTTTTTTTTTTTTTTTAGTCAGAAACGAGGATTGCAACCCCTGATTTTTTTTTTGCTTTCCATTTGCTCGGTAGATCTTCCTCCATCCCTTTATTTTGAGCCTATTTGTATCTTTGCACATGAAATGGGTCTCCTGAATACAGTACAACGATGGGTCTTGACTTTTTATCCAATTTGTCAGTCTGTTTTTCAGTTGGGGCATTTAGCCTATTTACATTTAAGATTAATATTGTTATGGGTGAATTTGATCCTGTCACTATGATGTTAGCTGGTTATTTTGCCCATTAATTGATGCAGTTTCTTCATAGTGTCAATGGTCTTTACACTTTGGCATGTTTTTGCAGTGGCAGTGGCTGATACCAGTTGTTCCTTTCCATGGTTAGTGCTTCCTTCAGGAGCTCTTGTAAAGCAGGCCTGGTGGTGACAAAATCTCTCAACATTTGCTTGTCTGTAAAGGATTTTATTTCTCCTTCACTTATGAAGCTTAGTTTGGCTGGATATGAAATTCTGGTTTGAAAATTCTTTTCTTAAAAATGTTGAATATTGGCCCCCACTCTCTTCTGGCTTGTAAGGTTTCTGCTGAGAGATCTGCTGTTAGTCTGATGGGCTCCCCTTTGTGGGTGACCCGACCTTTCTCTCTGGCTGCCCTTAACATTTTTTCCTTCATTTCATCCTTGGTGAATCTGACAATTGTGTGTCTTGGAGTTGCTCTTCTTAAGAAGTATCTTTGTGGTGTTCTTTGTATTTCCTAAATTTGAATGTTTTCCTGCCTTGCTAGGTTAGGGAAGTTCTCCTGGATAACATCCTGAAGAGTATTTTGTAACTTGGTTCCATTCTCCCCGTCACTTTCAGGTACACCAGTCAAATGTAGATTTGGTCTTTTCACATAGTCCCATATTTCTTGGAGGCTTTGTTCATTTCTTTTCATTCTTTTTTCTCTAATCTTGTCTTCTTGCTCTATTTCATTGAGTTGATCTTCAATCACTGATACCCTTTCTTCCACTTGATTGAATCAGCTACTGAAGCTTGTGCATGAGTCATGTAGTTCTCGTGCCATGGGTTTCAGCTCCATCAGGTCATTTAAGGTCTTCTCTATACCGTTTATTCTAGTTAGCCATTTGTCTAACCTTTTTTCAAGGTTTTCAGCTTCCTTGCGATGGGTTTGAACATCCTCCTTTAGCTCGGAGAAGTTTGTTACCAACCTTCTGAAGCCTACTTCTGTCAACTTGTCAAACTCATTCTCCATCCAGTTTTGTTCCCTTGCTGGTGAGGAGCTGTGATCCTTTGGAGGAGAAGAGGCAATCTGGTTTTTGGAATTTTCAGCTTTTCTGCTCTGGTTTCTTCCCATCTTTGTGGTTTTTTCTACCTTTGGTCTTTGATGTTGGTGACCTACAGATGGGGTTTTGGTGTGGATGTCCTTTTTGTTGGTGTTGATGCTATTCCTTTCTGTTTGTTAGTTTTCCTTCTAACAGTCAGGACCCTCAGCTGCAGGTCTGTTGGAATTTGCTGGAGGTCCACTCCAGACCCTGTTTGCCTGGATATCACTAGCGGAGGCTGCAGAACAGCAAATATTGCTGCCTGATCCTTCCTCTGGAAGCTTTGTTCCAGAGGTGCACCTGCCTGTGTGAGGTGTCTGTTGGCCCCTACTGGGAGGTGTCTCCCAGTCAGGGTACACGGGGGTCAAGGACCGACTTGAGGAGGCAGTCTGTCCATTTTCGGAGCTCAAATGCCATGCTGGGAGAACCACTGCTCTCTTCAGAACTGTCAGACAGGGGCGTTTAGGTCTGCCAAAGCTGTCTGCTGCCTTTTGTTCTGACATGCCCTGCCCACAGAGGTGGAATCTAGAGAGGCAGTAGGCCTTGCTGAGCTGCAGTGGGCTCCACCCAGTTCAAGCTTCCCGGCCTGTTTACACTGTGAGCATAAAACTGCCTACTCAAGCCTCAGGAATGGCGGACGCCCTCCCACCCCCCCAACAAGCTGCAGCATGCCAGGCCAATCTTAAGACTGCTGCACTGGCAGTAAGCAAGGATCCATGGGCATGAGCCCCACCGAGCCAGGCACGGGAGGGAATCTCCTGGTCTGTCAGTTGTGAAGACCATGGGAAAAGCCCAGTATTTGGGCAGGAGTGTACTGTTCCTCCAGGTACAGTCTGTCACGGCTTCCCTTGGCTAGGAAAGGGAAATCCCCTGACCCCTTGCACTTCCCAGGTGAGGCGATGCCCTGCCCTGCTTTGGCTCGCCCTCCATGGGCTGCACCCACTGTCCAACTAGTCCCAATGAGATGAACCAGGTACCTCAGCTGGAAATGCAGAAATCACCCATCTTCTGTGTTGGTCTTGCTGAGAGCTGCAGACCGGAGCTGTTCCTATTCCAGCAAGATGCTTTTAAAACCTTAGAGATGATGGATCCCAGACACCAAGCTTCTGGCTGTGGCTTGGCCTTTCTAAGTATTCAACAAGTCTGTCTTTTCCAAGTGTCTTTAAAGACCAGAAATACCTGTTTTTAACACACAGGGTTGCAAAATTCAGAGGAGATTGGCGAGCATCCCTCTTGTCTGCCCCACATGTGTTTCTTTGCCAGAGGCCACCGTGGCGAGCAGGGGCCTGTGACTGCCCCAACCAAAATTTTGGAAAGTCATTCTGGCGCTACCAGATGCCCCGAGGTTCCCAGGTTGGAGTCTTTCTCTCCCACTGGGTTTCTCCTGCAACTCTTCCCAGCCCACTGGCCCCACTGCCAGAGCACACAGGAGTCCGGACACACACCGCGGGACAGCCTGACTCGCTACTGCTCTCTGCACGTGCTATATGAGAGGGTTCTTTTGAGAACAGAAAATGCAGTGACTGAGCAGGAAAGGGTGAAGGAGGAAAACCAGAGGTCGCATGCAGCCAACCAGGCATTACAAAAATGCCTTCTGGAAAAGTGCACTTGGAGTTGGTTTCCAGAGAAAATGAAAAGTCCCTCCAGAGAAATGTAAAGGCCAGAGAAACGAAGACTCAGAGAATGAAAAGGCCAACCCTGCTCATCCAGTAGCCCAGGGCTAGCCCAGACAGACCCATTCTCTTGTTGGGCTTATGACTCTGGGTGAGTCTTGGTTTCTTTCTCACCCCAAAGCCAATGTTAAACCTACAAATGAAAAAGAACACTTAAAAGGATGATCTGGGCCAGGTTCAGTGGCTCACGCCTGTTATCCCAGCACTTTGGGAGGCTGAAGCGGGTGGATCTCTGGAGGTCAGGAGTTTGAGACCAGCCTGGCCAACCTGACAAAACTCTGTCTCTACTAAAAATACAAAAGTTAGCCAGGAGTGGTGGCGGGTACCTGTAATCCCAGCTACTTGGGAGGCTGAGGCTGGAGAATCACTTGAACCCAGCAGGCAGAGGTTGTAGTGAGCTGAGATCTGCCACTGCACTCCAGCCTGGGCAACAAGGGTGAAACTCTGTCTCGAAAAAAAAAAAAAAGGATGATCAGCAACTTGGCAAATCGTAGCCATGTTTGTTAAGTGGAGGAAAAGTATTAAACATATTATGAAAACAGAAATGGTAGTCATGTCAAACAAACAAACATTACATATGTAGGGAAAAAGATTGGCAACAAATACACAAAAAATAAAGTTCTGTTTTGATATTCTGAATTTGAGTGGTTCCCCACACCCTCTACAATTTCCAAGTTTTATGAAACATGTTGTCTCCTTTAATTAAGGCAGCAGTAACCTCTACGCACGTGATCCCCACTGCACTCTAAAACTTCCAATTAGGCCGGGCGTGGTGGCTCATTCCTGTAATCCCAGCACTGTGGGAGGCCTAGGTGGAGAGGATCACTTGAGTCCAGGAGTTGGAGACCAGCCTGGGCAACATGCTGAAACCGTCTCTACAATAAATACAAAAATTAGTGGGGCATGGTGGCACACACCTGTAGTTCCAGCTACTTGGGAGACTGAGACGAGAGGATTGCTTGACTCTGGGAGATCCAGGTTGTAGTGAACCAAGATCATGCTGTGTCCGGAATTGTTGGGTTCTTAGTCTCGCTGACTTCAAGAATGAAGCCGTGTACCCTCGCGGTGAGTGTTACAGTTCTTAAAGATGGTGTGTCCAGAGTTTGTTCCTTCAGATGTTCAGATGTGTCCAGAGTTTCTTCCTTCTGGTGGGTTCATGGTCTCACTGACTTCAGGAGTGAAGCTGCAGACTTCCGCGGTGAGTGTTATAGCCCTTAAAGGTGGCATATCTGGAGTTGTTCGTTCCTTCTGGTGGGTTCGTGGTCTTGCTGGCCTCAGGAGTGAAGCTGCAGACCTTCGCAGTGAGTGCTACAGTTCATAAAGGTGGTGCACCCGAAGTTGTTTGTTCCTCCCGTCTGGAGTTGTTTATCCCTCCCAGTGGGTTTGTGGTCTCGCTGGCTTAAGGAGTGAAGCTGCAGACCTTCACAGTGAGTGTTAACAGTTCATAAAAGCAGCGTAGACGCAAAGAGTGAGGAGCACTAAGATTTACTGCAAAAAGCAAAAGAACAAAGCAGCTTTTACAGTGTGGAAGAGGACCCGAGCATGTTGCCGCCGCTGGCTTGGGTGGCCTGCTTTTATTCCCCCATCCGGCCCCACCCACATCCTGCTGATTGTTCTATTTTACAGAGAGCTGATTGGTCCATTTTACGGAGAGCTGATTGGTTCATTTTACAGAAAGCTGATTGGTCCGTTTTGACAGAGTGCTTATTGGTGTGTTTACAATCCTTTAGCTAGACACAGAGTGCTGATTGGTGAGTTTACAATCCTTTAGCTAGACACAAAAGTTCTCTAAATCCCCACCAGATTAGCTAGACACAGAGTGGTGATTGGTGCATTTACAAACTTTTAGCTAGACACAGAGTGCTGATTGGTGCGTTTACAATCCTTTACCTAGACACAGAGTGCTGATTGGTGCGTTTACAATCCTTTAGCTAGACACAGAGTGCTGATTGGTGCATTTACAATCCTTTAGCTAGACACAAAAGTTCTCCAAGTCCCCACCCGACCCAGAAGCCCAGCTGGCTTCACCTCTCAATGGCACTCCTGGGACTTTGCCGCGCCTAGTGGGGCACTCCGGCAGCCCAGAGGGCGCTCCTCCCCCACCCCCCCATCAAGCCCAGCAGGCGACGCCAACCTTGCCCCCAGTGCAGGGCCTGCCTAGCCCGCACCCACCCGGAACACCACTGGCCCGGGAGCACCACGCGCAGCCCCTGTTCCCACTGGCGTCTCTCCCTCCACACCTCCCCCCAAGCAGAGGGAGACGGCTCCGGCCTCAGCCAGCCCCAGAGAGGGGCCCCCACAGCACAGCAGTGGGCTGAAGGGCTCCTCGAGCCCGGCCAGAGCAGACACCGAGGCCGAGGAGGCGCCAAGAGCAAGCAAGGGCTGCTAGCAGGTTGTCACCTCTCAATGCCACTGCACTCTAGCCTGAGTAACAGAGCAGATCTGGTGTCAAAAAATAAAATAAAAAATAAAGAAAGAGACCAGGCACGGTGGCTCACGCCTGTAATCCCAGCACTTTGGGAGGCTGAGGTGGGCAGATCACGAGCTCAGGAGTTTGAGACCACCCTGGCCAACATGGCAAAACCTTGTCTCTACTAAAAGTACAAAAATTAGCTGGGCATGGTGGTGGGTGCTTGTATTCCCAGCTACTCAGGAGGCTGAGGCAGGAGAATCACTTGCATCTGGGAGGCAGAGGTTGCAGTGAACCCAGATCGCGCCACTGCACTCTAGCCTGGGCAACAAGAGTGCAACTTCGTCTCAAAAAAATAAATAAAGAAAAATAAAATGAAACCTCCAATTAAAAGGAGAAATTCAACCAGGTGCAGTGGCTCACGCCTGTATCCCAACACTTTGGGAGGCCAAGGTGGGTGGATCGCTTGAGGTCAGGAGTTCGAGACCAGCCTGACCAACATGGTGAAACCCCATCTCTACTAAAAATACAAAAAATTAGCTGGATGTGGTGGTGCACACCTGTAGTCCCAGCTACTCGGGAGTCTGAGGCAGGAGAATTGCTTAAACTTGGGGCGTGGAGGTAGCAGTGAGCCGAGATCACGCCATTGCATTCCAGCTTGGGTGACAGAGCGAGACTCAGTCACAAATAAATAAATAAATAAATAGGCCAGGTGCGGTGGCTCACGCCTGTAATTCCAGCACTTTGGGAGGCCGAGGTGGGCGGATCACCTGAGGTCAGGAGTTCGAGACCAGCCTGCCCAACATGGTGAAACCCCATGTCTACTAAAAATACACACACAGACACAAAATAGCCAAAATTAGCCAAAAAATTATAAATAAATAAAATAAAAAGATAAGTTGCACACTCAGGAGGCTGAGGCAGGAGACTCGCTTGAACCCAGGAGGTGGAGGCTGCAGTGAGCCGAGACCACGCCATTGCACTCCAGTCTGGGCGACAAAGCAAGACTCTGTCTCAAAAAAAAAAAAAAAAAGACAAATTCAGCAGAAGCATTGCTTGAGTAACACGGAAACTCAGAACCAGGAAACTGAAGGCGGTTACTCCACATACATCTGGGGCAATAAGTGAGCTGTTCCAGCGCGGCTTACGCTGTGGGCGGAGGCGGGCAGGAAATTCACTTACAAGTCTGTGCCAGGAAACAGGAAGAAGGTGCCTCCTGTGATACAAGATACAGACGTAGTCTCCTATCCAGGAAACAGGGACAGAGCCGCAGACCAGATAAAGATACGACCAACATTTTTCATTAAATATTCTCAACGGATTATTTACATTTTTTCTAGAAAAGTAAAATTTAAACCTGAATACATTTGATAACTATGGAATGTGAGCATTCACGTATGCTTGTGACCTGGTTCCTCTACGCTTCAGGGGTCGCCCTGGTCCCAAAGCGCTTCCTGCCGCTCCCACTTCCTCTGTTTTCACCGGAGGGGCAGCCACAGTTCTCGGCTGAGAGAAACTCGGTCGTTCTGTTTACGTCGTGAATGATTGGCTACAGATCCCAGAGAGGAAATAGGGACCCACCCCTCAGTTGTTATGCAATCTGGGGCGGAGTCCGGGGTCCATAGCCTTTCTGAGGGTAACCTGAGCGGGAGAAGTTGTTGCGCCTGATCTCAAACAGCCTTTCGCACGGAAAAGGATTCCTAAAAGTGGGGTTACTCCTCCACAGCAATAGCGTCCTTAAAATAGGGGCTCCCGGCTGGGCGCGGTGGCTCACCCCTGTAATCCCAGCACTTGAGAGGCCAAGACAGGCGGATCACCTGAGGTTGGGAGTTCGAGACCAGCCTGAACAACATGGAGAAACCCCCTCTCTACTAAAAATACAAAATTAGCTGGGTGTGGTGGCGCATGCCTGTAATACAAGCTACTCGGGAGGCTGAGGCAGGAGAATCGCTTGAACCTGGGAGGCGGAAGTTGCGGTGAGCCGAGATGGCGCCATTGCACTATAGCCTGGGCAGCGGCAAGAGCGAAACTCCGTCTCAAAAAAAAAAAAAAAAAAAAAAAAACTATATATCTATCTATCATCTATCTATCTATCTATCTATCTATCTATCTATCTATCTAGGCTGCCGGTGAGGACGTGAGGCACGTGCCACTGAGCCACTGAGAATTTACCCCCCTGGGCAAGTCTGTGAGGCCAGGGCCCCTAGGGAAAAAAGCCTTTCCCAGATTTTAGGGCTCATATGCCTGCAGTGGGTTGGTAGGGATCGGGGAAGATGATGAGGTTGGGATAAGGAAGTGGTACCAATAGAAAGACTAAGCAAACCAAACCAAATCAAACTTTCCCCTTTCCATCCCTGTCCTCCTCTTTGCAATCCCATTTGGGTGGCTGAAGGCAGACCCTGACCAGAGCCATCCTTGCCGGCTTCTTTTGTCTTGCTCTGTGGGGAAACGAGTGAAGAAAAAAGCAGAAGGAAAGGCAAGTGAAATGGAGCCCTCTGTGAAGAACTACGACTAGGGTCACACAGAGCAAAATTCCTAGCCTTCCTTTGAGGAGTAGCCGTATTTCCATTTAAAAAAGACCCACTTTATGCAAGATTCAGGGCTGGGAATTGGTCCTTCCTGCCTCAAGAATTTCAAAGACTTCTAGAGGAGAGTGTCCAAAGACAGACAAGAAAGTGGCCAGTGCCCTGAAGAAAGTCAGGGGGTCCAGGGGAGTGTGAACCCTGAATATCTGAGACAGGTCTCAGTTAATTTAGAAAGTTTATGTTGTCAGGGTTGAGGATGTGTGTCGGTGACACAGCCTTAGGAAGTCCTGATGACATGTGCCCAAGTTGTCAGGGCACAGCTTGGTTTTATACATTTTAGGGAGACATGAGACATCAATCAACATATGTAAGATTAACATTGGTTCGGTCTGGAAAGGCGGGACAACTTGAAGCAATGGTGGGACAACTCCAAGTGGCGAGGGGGCTTCCAGGTCATAGGTAGATAAGAGACAAATGGTTACTTTCTTTTGAGTTTCTTTTTTTTTGAGATGGAGGCTCGCTCCTGTTGCACAGGCTGGAGTGCAGTGGTGCGATCTTGGCTTGTTGTAACCTCCACCTCCCAGGTTCAAGCGATTCTCATTCCTCAGCCTCCCGAATAGCTGGGATTACAGGCATGTGCCACCACGCTGAGCTAATTTTTGTATTTTTAGTAGAGACGGGGTTTCACCATGTTGGCCAGGCTGGTCTCGAACTCCTGGCCTCGGGTGATCCACCCGCCTCGGCCTCCCAAAGTGCTAGGATTACAGGTGTGAGCCACTGTGCCCGGCCTCTTTTGAGTTTCTGATTAGCCTCTCCAAAGGAGGCAATCAGATAGCATTTATCTCAGTAAGCAGAGGAGTGACCGAATAGAATGAGACGTAGGTTTGCTCTCAGCAGTTCCCAACTTGACTTTTCCCTTTAGCTTAGTGATTTTCGGGCCCCAAGATTTATTTTCCTTTCACAGGTATCCCCTGTTCAGTTCAGACTGAACCTGAGGGGGTGTAGGGATGTACTCCAGGCTGGAGTGAAGTGGCATGATCTCGGCTCACTGCAACGTCTGCTTTCTAGGCTCAAGAGATCCTCCCAACTCAGCCTCCTGAGTAACTGGGATTTCAGGTGAGCACAACCATGCCCAGCTAATTTTTGTATTTTTAGTAGAGACGGGGTTTTGCCCTGTTTCCCAGGCTGGTCTGGAACTCCTGAACTCAGGTGATCCACCCACCTCGGCCTCCCAAAGTGCTGGGAATACAGGCGTCAGCCACTGTGCCCAGCCAAATTCTACGTCTTTTAAAAAATTAAGAGAAGAAATTAGTAAAATACACTTAAAGTTTTTCGTATGAAACTTATTTAGTGTTTCTGATGATTTGTTCTTGTGGATTGGACTTACAATCTGATGTGGTTCCTTTGTTTCAATGTAACTCCATCTTTTCCCTATCCTTTGTACCATTATTGTCATATGTGTGTGAGTGCATATATACACACACATTATCTTTAGATGTTACAAACCCAACACTGTAATTTTATAATTGTTGTTTTATGTAATTTCTTTTAAAACAGTTAAGAAATGAAAAGGAGCCAGGCATGGCGGTGTGCATCTGTAGTCCCAGCTACTCAGGAGGAGGCTGAGGTGAGGGGATCACTTGAGTCCAGGATTTGAGGCTGCAGTGAGCGATGGTCAAACCACTGCACTCCATCCTGGGTGAGAGAGTGAGACCTTGTCTCTCAAAAAAGAAAAAGAAAAAAAAGAGATTTGTAGTTTTTAGTTTTTAGTTTTTAAAAAATAATTACCAACATATTATTTTTTCTGATGCTGTTTGTTTCTTTTACAAATTTTACTTTTTTTAATGTAATATTTTTGAGATGGAGTCTTGCTCTGTTGCCCAGGCTGGACTACAGTGGTGTGATCTTGGCTCACTGCAGACTCCACCTGCTGGGTTCAAGTGATTCTTGTGCCTCAGCCTCCCAAGTAGCTGGGATTACAGGTGTGCGCCACTGTGCCTAGCTACAAGTTTTATCTTTAATTGACATACAATAATTGTTTTTCATTGGATTGGGATTATTATCTGGTGTCATTTCTTCTCAGTCTGAAGAACTTACTTTAGTATTACATTAGTGTTTCTTGTAAGACATATCTGCAAGAGATAAATCTCCCTAGTCTTTGTTTATCTAAGAATATGTTCATGTTGGCTTCTCTTTTTGTTTTCTTTAGAATAAATTTTGGTTTTGGAGACAGGGTCTCGCTCTGTTGCCCAGGCCGGAGTGTAGTGGCATGATCATGTCTCATTGCAACCTCAATCTCTCGGGCCTAAGAGAGCCTCCTGCCTCAGCCTCCTGAGTAGCTAGGACTACAGGTGTGCACTACCACACATGGCTAAATTTTTTTTTTTTTTTTTTTTGCAGAGACAGGGTCTTACTTTGTTGCCCAGGCTGGTCTTGAACTCCTGGGTTCAAGCGATCCTCCCACCTTGGCCTCCCAAAGTGCTGGGATTATGGGTGCAAACCACTGTCCCTGTACCGGTCTTCAGTTTTGAAGGATAATTTTTCTTGATGTAAAATTCTTGATTGCTAGCTTCTCCCCACTAACCCCCAAATTTGCATATGTTACTGTCTTCTTTAATTTTTTTTTTTTTTGAGACAGAGTCTTGCTCTGTTGCCCAGGCTGGAGTGCAGTGGCACAATCTTGGCTCACTGCAGCCTCCGCCTCCCGGGTTCAAGCAATTCTCCTGCCTCAGCCTCCCGAGTAGCTGGGATTACAGGCATGTACCACCACACCCAGCTAATTTTTATATTCTTAGTAGAGATGGGGTTTCACCATGTTGGCCAGGCTGGTCTTGAACTCTTGACCTCGTGATCTGCCTGCCTCAGCCTCCCAAAGTGCTGGGATTATAGACATGAGCCACGGCACCCAGCCCATGTTACAGCCTTCTAACCTCCATTGTTACTGATGAGGTTAGCTATTAAGATTATTGTGTCTGTGTGTATGAGTGTATTTGTATGAGATGAGTTTTTTCTCATTGCTTTTAAGATGTCATTTCTATTTTTGGCTGGTAATAGTTTCAGTATAATATATTAATGTTTAGGTGTGAATCAATTTTTTTTTTTTTTTTGAGACAGAGTCTCACTCCATTTCCAGGGCTGGAGTATAGTGGCATGATATTAGCTCATTGCAACCTCTGACTCCGTGGTTCAAGCAATTCTCCTGCCTCAGCCTCCCGAGTAGCTGGGATTACAGGTGTGCATCACCATGCCCAGCTAATTTTTGTATTTTTATTGAGACAGATTTCACCATGTTGGCCAGGCTGGTCTCGAACTCCTGACCTCAAATGATCCACACACCTCAGCCTCCCAAAGTGCAGGGATTACAGGCATGAGCCACCGTGCCTGGCCGACAATTTCTATTGACTGTTTCTCCCTGCAAATGGATTGCATTTTCCTATTTCTTTGCCCTTTTGTAACTTTTTTGGAAAACTGAAAATTTTAGACAATATATGCTAGCTCTGGATTCCAATTTCTTTCTCTTGGGGGTGAAGGTGGTTGTTGTTTTGTTTGTTTTTATAGTGACTTGCCTGTACTAATTCTGTGGAGTCCCTTTCCCTTGCAGTATGAGGGTTCAGATATTTTTATAGTGACTTGCCTGTACTAATTCAGTGGAGTCCTTTTCCCTTGCAGTATGCAGTATGAGGCTTCAGATATTTCTGCTCAGATATTTCTGCTCAGGTTCCTTTTTGTTTTTGAGACAGAGCTTCACTCTTGTTGCCCAGGCTAGAGTGCAACGGCGTGATCTCGGCTCACTGCAACCTCTGCCTCCTGGGTTCAAGCGATTCTCCTGCCTCAGCCTCCCGTCCTTTTTTAATTCTTATGTTTATTTTTAAGCCTGAATTCTTAGGGGTTGCCCCTGGATCAGCATAGCTTAATGGTCAGCCAGTGATCTGTTAGAGTTTGTGCTTAAATGCCTTAAGCCAGTAAGGCTTCTAACCCTGCTGTTGGAGCTGTGTGTGATTTGGAGGGTACTTTCAAAGTTCAGAGAGTTTACAAGTGAGCCATGGCTTTCTCTTTATTTCTGAGACCTCATATTTAGTTGCAGGGAGGAGTAGCTTCCTATAGCCTTCTCAAGTCTCTCTTCTAAGCAGTTATAACCCTGTGTGCTGCACATAGCTTTTTAAACTACCAAAGTTAAATGGTATTTTACTAAGGCATTCTTTGTCTGTTTTGTTCCTTTGATTTCCCTTTTAAATTTCTGGCTAGTCTGCTATTTTGCTGCTTCTCCCAACCATTGTCATGACGCAGGCTAGCCACACCGTTAGGCTTTGCTAATGAATTCTTCTGTGAAAAAGTACTGCCACATCTTCCCATTTATTTATTTAAGAATTTCTTTTATCAATATGGGCTAATGGATACTTATTTTATTCTATGGGTTATAATCCAATTCCATTATTACTTATTTTGTTGCTCAAATTGTTTCCATTTTAACTATTGGAATTATTTCCAGTTGGCTCCTGTGTCCCTTTGATATGGTTCTCACCTTTTAATCGAGCATGTAAATACTTTCTGACATCATAGGATGCCCCAGTCCTAGAATCGACCGTTTCTCCAAGGAGCCGGAATGCCGTTTTGTTTTCAATTTAAATTTTTTTTGTGTAGAGATAGTGTCTCACTATGTTGCCCAGGCTAGCCTCGAAATCCTGGCCTCAAGCGATCCTCCTGCCTCAGCCTCCCAAAGTGCTAGTATTACAGGCGTGAACCACCATATCTGGCCTGTCAGATTCTTTTAATTTTTGGTTTTTAACTTTTTATTATTGAAAACTTAAAATTTATAAAAAATTAGAAAGAATAGCAAAGTGTTTCCATCACTCAGCTTCAACAATCATCCCTCCCTTAGAGAATCCTAGTAATCTGAACAGGAATGTGGATCAGCAAGGCCTGTTTAGGTGACTAAAGCAGTGAAAATTATCTCCATCAATTGTGTGGGATGAATTTTCAACAGCAACACCTATAGCAGAGAAAAGCAACAGCTTCTTTTCTGTTCTTAGCACTGAAGGGGACTACGAGGGTACCCTTTGGCTGTGGGGTGCTTAGACATTTCACAGGAAGCCTCAAGAGGTATTAGAATGGATCACTGGAAAAATAAAGTTGTGAATATATTTGTATCTTGGGTTTTTAGTGGAAGCTCACATTAGTTACAGTTATGACAAAACCTATTCTCTGTACACCCAAGGGTCTTTTTTGGTCACAAGAGAATATTTTCAAGGGGAATTTAAAAACATAAGAAACCACGTTTACGCTGGGCACAGTGGCTCATGCCTGTAATCCCAGCACTTTGGGAATCTGAGGTGGGCAGACCACTTGAGCCCAGGAGTTTGAGACCAGCCTGGCCAACATGGTGAAACCTCGTCTCTACCAAAAATACAAATAATAATAATAATAATAATAATAATAAAAATAAAGCAGGGCATGGTGGCGTGCACCTGTAGTCCCAGCTACTGGGGAGGCTGAAGTGGGTGGGAGAATTGCTTTAACTGGGGAGGCAGAGGTTGCAGTGAGCTGAGATTGTGCCACTGCACTCCAGCCTGGGTGACAGAGTGAGAGCCTGTCTAAAAAACAAACAAACAAACAAAAAACCACGTTTAGTCTGAGGAACAGTACCTCGTGGTACATTGCCATAATTAGTTCCCAAGAGAAGATTGAGTGTCAGGCCCTGGAGAGGCCTGGAGCACTAATCAGGGAACCAAGGCTGGGGAGGGTGGGGGAAGGCCCAGCTAGATCTTTCGTTCCTGATCTTCTTTCTCATGATCCAAAGAGATGTACTTATTACTTTTTGTCATTATGTCTGTTAAGTATTTTTAAATTCACTGGTTCTCTCTCATTTTTTTTTTTAGCTTTAACTTCCGCTACAGTTTACCACAACTTCCTGGTTCCTCCCCTTTGTGGTCACAAAAACATTTCCTAGTTGAGATACATTTTCTTGACTTGAGTCTCCTTTCTCTGGTTCATTTGGTGCCTTTATCAACTCTATGCATAGTGAGGTTTTAAGTCTTTATAAAGATCATTGGCACATGAGGGGGTCTGCAGCCTACTGTCCTATTTACTCAGTTTGGTGTTATTCTACTATATTTGTGATGTCAGGAGCCACACTGTCTGGAAATGATGCTGGGAGGTCATTCTGGGTTGCCTGAAAAACAAACTCATTAGAACCTGGGGCTCCCTCTTCTTCCAGTGAGTGGGGTTTCCAAAAGTTAGAATCCAGTGGAACCAGGGGTGTTTTTCTCACTCCTGGCAGAGGGACGTGTGACTAGCCATGGGCCCCTAGGTCTCCAGTTCCTGGGTAGCTTGTATTTTTGAACATCTCCTGTATATTAGTTATCATTACAGCATAAAAATTGTCCTAAAATAAGTGGCTTAAAACAACACACCCTTATTATCTCACAATATTTGAAGGACAGCAATTCAATACAGCATAGCTGGGTCCTCTCTTCAGGGCCCCTCAAGGCTGCAATCATAGTTGGGGTCTTCCCTGAAGACTCAACTAGGAAAGGATGAGCTTCCAAGCTCACTAACTTAGTTGTTGGTAGGAAGCACGAAGGGTGGTAGGACTGAAGGTTTGGTTCCTCTTGAATGTTGAGTTGAGAGCACTCTCAGTTCCTCACCACATGGACCTCCTTAACATGGCAGCTTGATTACTTGAGTCAGTAAATGAGTCTGCTAGCAAGATAAAAGCCACAAACTCTTATTGTCTACTCATGGATATGATAGACTTTCACCTTTGTCATATTCCATTGGTTAGAATTAAGTGACAAGGTCCATACCAAACTCAAGGTGGGAAGGATTCCACAAAGACTCGAATACTAAGATGGGGGATCATTAGAGACCATCTTAGAAGTCAGGTTAGCACAACCTGTCAATAACTGACACTCTAATCAAGAGTGCTAGGTGCCTACGCTGTTTGTGTGCCTCTTCATTGATAAGGCTGCTCTCATGCTTGACTCATAATGGAGAGCAATAACACACTGCCGCATCCCTCCCCTCCACCTGCATGTCCAGTAGTGTGCCTGGTTTGCTCTTCTATGGAAAAATAAAAGGAATTGGACTCATGCTTTCTCTTTACTTGCTGACACTGAATTGAAAATTCCCTCAAAAGCCTATTTCTTAACCCATAGCATGCGATATTCTGGCTTTTATCCTGAGCCCTGGTGAACAACAGGTGGTGACCCCAAGGGACCTGCTTTGCATGACAGCCTCACACCTGGTTTTCCTCTCAGTCCTCTCCCAGTCTCTCCTCTTTGCCTCATAAGTTTAGTTACACCCCGAACACTGTCTTTTGGCTATTTTGTGGATCCTGTTTGCAGCTTGAGGCACAGGTTATTCCTGCCCTTTGCCCACCATCTGCTCCTGGGACCCCAGCCTGAGTGGAAGAGGTCTTGGAGTGTGGCTTGGACATTATTAATCAGGTTTTCTCCACACCAGCACACATACACACCCATGTGCACACAAACACACAGGCACACCCCCCACACACATGCATGTGCGTGCACACACACACACATGCATGTCGACACACACACACACTTTGTTGTGGAATCTGGTGCCTGTGGTCTTATGTATTTTCGCAGGAATTTGTGCTTAATGGATATCCCGAGCAGTCTTCATTGGTTACCCACGCCCACTGTTATGCTTTATGAACAAACTCATGCATTCTTTCCTAAATAGACTGCATATTTCCTTTTCTTTTCTTTTCTTTCTTTCTTTTTTTTTGAGACGGAGTCTTGCTCTGTTGCCCAGGCTGGAGTGCAATGGGGGGATCTTGGCTCACTACAACCTCCGCCTCCTGGCTTCAAGCGATTCTCCTGCCTCATCCTCCCAAGTAGTTGGAATTACTGACGCCCTCTACCACGCCCGGCAAGTTTTGTATTTTTAGTAGAGACAGGGTTTCACTATGTTGGCCAGGCTGGTCTCAAACTCCTGACCTCAAGTGATCCACCTGCCTCAGCCTCCCAAAGTGTTGGGATTACAGGCATAAGCCATGGCGCCTGGCCATTTTTTTTTTTTTAAGAGACAGGGTCTCATCTCACTCTGTCACCCAGGCTAGAGTACAGTGGCATGATCACAGCTCTACTCTACTAAAAATACAAAAATTAGGCCGGGCGCAGTGGCTCACACCTGTAATCCCAGCACTTTGGGAGGCCGAGGTGGGTGGATCACCTGAGGTCGGGAGTTCAAGACCGGACTGACCAACATGGAGAAACCCTGCCTTGGCCGGGCACGGTGGCTCACGCCTGTAATCCCAGCCCTTTGGGAGGCCAAGGTGGGCTGATCACCTGAGGTCAGGAGTTTGAGACCAGCCTGGCCAACATGGTGAAACCCCGTCTCTATCAAAAATATAAAAATTAGCCAGGCACAGTGGCAGACGCCTGTAATCTCAGCTACTTGGGAGGCTGAGGCAGAAGAATCCCTTGAACCCGGGTGATGGAGTTTGCAGTGAGCCATCCTCACGAGATTGTGCCACTGCACTCCAGCCTGGGCGACAGAGCCAGACTCCATCCCAAAAAAAAAAAAAAAGAAAAAAAGAAAACCCGTCTCTACTAAAAATACAAAATTAGCGAGGTGTGGTGGCACATCCCTGTAATCCCAGCTACCTAGGAGGCTGAGGCAGGAATTGCTTGAACCTCGGAGGTGGAGGTTGCGGTGAACCAAGATTGCGCTATTGCACTCCAGCCTGGGCAACAAGAATGAAACTCCATCTCAAAACAAAAATAAAAATAAAAATACAAAAATTAGCCAGGCGTGGTGGCAGATGCCTGTAATCCCTGCTACTCAAGAGGCTGAGGTGGGAGGATTGCTTGAACTTGGGAGGCGGAGGTTGCAGTGAGCCGATATCCCGCCATTGCACTCCAGCCTGGGTGACAGCGTAAGACTCTGTCTCCAAAAAGAAAAGGGAATCCTACCTCCTGAGGGCCTCTGTTACTGTAATTTCTAAAAGTGCCCCACCTGACCCTTGAACCTAATCAACTCAATGTTAAAAGTCATAGCATAGTAGCTAATGCTCATATAGCCCTTTATGGCATTGTCTTACACACTGGCATCCAGCCAGTGTGCACTAGTACAGCCAATACTGATTGTTACAGAAAATAGAATGGTTATCGTGATAGGTGGTAAAATTAATAAGTACTAGAAATTCTAATATCTCATTAACTAATTAACTATTTGTCTTAGTCTATCACAGTGATCATCAATGGATGGGTCTCCTGCACTGCAGCATCTGAGAATCATTTATGGCACCACCGGCTGGTTCAGCCATGTCACCATTGTACATTCATTGTTTTGTGGTTTAGGAAAATCATCAGTTAATTGTTATCCTCACATGCTGTAACTTATAAATAGTATATTTGTTTGGCTTTTCCTTGTTTCTATTGTTATTGTGTTATTATTCATCTGGAAATAATAACTGTGCAGTGTTTTGATATCTATAAATTCAAGAACTTAGAATAGTAAACAGTAAGAGTGAAGTGACAAAGTTTAAATACATTTTATTTATTTATCTATTTACTTATTTTCTGAGATAAGAGTCTTACTCTGTTGCCCAGGCTGGAGTGCAGTGGTGTGATCTCGGCTCACTGCAACTTCTGTCTCCCAGGTTCAAGCGATCTTCCTGCCTCAGTCTCCTGAGTAGCTGGGACTACAGGTGTGTGCCACCACACCCACCAAATTTTTATATTTTTGTTTTATTTTATTTTTTTTGAGACAGAAGGGTTTTTGTTTTTTTTTTTTTTGAGACAGAAGGGTTTTTTTTTTTTTTTTTTTTGAGACAGAGTTTCACTTTTGTTGCCCAGGCTGGAGTGCAATGGCGAAATCTCAGCTCACTGCAACCTCTGCCTCCCGGGTTCAAGCAATTCTCCTGCCTCAGCCTCCCAAGTAGCTGGGACTACAGGCATGTACCACCATGCCTGGCTAATTTTTTGTATTTTAGTGGAGACGGAGTTTCACGATGTTGGTCAGGCTGGTCTTGAACTCCTGACTTCAGGTGAGCCACCTGCCTTGGCCTCCCAAAGTGCTGGGATTACAGGCATGAGCCACCGCGCCCAGCCGATTTTTGTATTTTTAGTAGAGATGGGGTTTCGTCATGTTGGCCAAGCTGGTTTCAAACTCCTGACCTCAGGTGATCCATCAGCTTCAGCCTCCCAAAGTGCTGGGATTACAGGCATAAGCCACAGTGCCAGGCCTACATACATTTTAAACATTGCTTTTAGATACTGTAAACATGACTCTTCTGAATCTGAGACAAATCATGAAACCAATGGTATTAATATTGAATCACAGCCTGGAACAACTGATATGCAAAGATTATGGCAGGTGGGAATGCTTTCAGTATTGCATAAGATTCAGTTCAAAGGAAACAATAATTCACATTTCTAAAATTTAATTAAAAACCTGATAATTGGCCAGGTGTATTGGCTCATGCCTGTAATCCCAGCACTTTGGGAGCTCAAGGTGAGTGAATCACCTGAGGTTGGGAGTTCGAGACCAGCCTGACCAACATGGAGAAACCCTGTCTCTACTAAAAATATAAAATTAGCCAGGTGTGGTGGTGCATGCCTGTAATCCTAGCTACTGGGGAGGCTGAGGCAGGATAATCATTTGAACCCAGGAGGTGGAGGTTGCAGTGAGCTGAGATGGCGCCATTGCACTCCAGCCTGGGCAACAAGAGCAAAACTCCATGTCAAAAAACAAACAAACAAAAAACCCCTGATAATTTTGACAAAACTCACAGGTAGCTGATTATTGCTTGAAATGTAAATATTAAATGAAAACGATATGCAAAGCACACATCTTGTGGATGTGTGAAAAGGTGAATGTTCTAGCATATTGTCGGTGCTCAGAATTCAGGGAAAAACTAGTAATAAGAAGAATTTGAAGAATATTATGAATGAGCTTCACATAATGAAGTCTTTGAAATAATAAATCCCCTGAAATACTTTGTATCATAAAAAGAACAAAACATTGAAAAAGTACCATTAGAATGCTAATATTACCTACTGTGTAATTAGTCTACTGCTAAATAGAGTCTTAAAAAAGGTTGTAAATAGTGCATATCATTGCAGTCTACATTAATGGTTACAATGGTCACAAAACGTATATCTACCATGATGAGACAACTTTTTAGTAAATTTATAAATCTAGGCAATCAATCATCACCAAGAAAGCTTCAATTATGTAACAAAAAAAAATTTTTTTTTTTTGAGACGGAGTCTCACTCTGTCACCTAGGCTGGAGTGCAGTGGCGCGATCTCGGTTCACTGCAAGCTCCACCTCCCAGGTTCACACCATTCTCCTGCCTCAGCCTCCCGAGCAGCTGGGACTACAGGCGCCTGCCACCATGCCCGGCTAATTTTTTGTATTTTTAGTAGAGACGGGGTTTCACTGTGTTAGCCAGGATGGTCTTGATCTCCTGACCTCGTGATCCGCACACCTTGGCCTCTCAAAGTGCTGGGATTACAGGTGTGAGCCACCACGCCCGGCCACAAAAACGTGTTTTTATTAGTGACTTAAATACTAAATTTCAGACTTATAAAACTGATGATATAAAACTAATGATTTTTGCTCATCTGAGGAACTGAAATGATGTATCAAGCTTACTTACTCATCAGTGCTCAAGAAAAGTGGTTTTGATGTGAAATGGTTACACAATGCTACAGATGGTTCTAGTATATGTCACAGAGAAAGTTCAGAGAAGCCAAAGTTTTAGAGAAGTCTCTATATGGCCAGGCACAATGGCTCATGCCTGTAATCCCAGCACTTTGGGAGGCCAAGGCAGGCAGATCACGAGGTCAAGAGATTGAGACCATCCTGGCCAACATGGTGAAACCCTGTCTCTACAAAAAATACAAAAATTAGCTGGGTGTGGTGGCATGTACCTATAGTCCTAGCTGCTTGGGAGGCTGAGGCAGGAGAATCGCTTGAACCTGGGAGGCAGAGTTTGCAGTGAGCAGAGATTATGCCACTGCACTCCAGCCTGGTGACAGAGCGACAATCTGTCTCAAAAAAAAAAAAAAAAAAGTCTCTTTATATTTTAAATTGGTACTATATAAGTTACTGTATTCAGTGATGTCAGGATGATGCAGTAAAATGTTTAAATGAAAAATTACTTCAAATATTTGCCTCACTAAACTTTATATTCACAACTACATATGAAATAAGCATTTGGGAAAATTAAAAATATTTCTAAAGATACTGGAATTGAAGTCATGAAACTAGAAAGCATATTTGGGCACTCTGTAATAGTGGGATGCCAAGAGCATTAGGGAATTGTACCAAACCTTTTATATTCACTTTAATAGAAGTTGTGAAATGGGAGTAGTAAGTGTTTAGGACATAAACTTTTTTTCCCAGAAATTTGACGTTAATAACTTATATATTAACAGAGATGTCAATGTTATCTTTATCCTTTCCAGAGGAAATATTAAAAATTACAGAAGCTGGATTAATTGTAGAAAAATAAGAATCAGTTAATATATAAAATTAAATACATAAAGCAAAGGGGAAAAAGTAGATAGTATTGTTTAAAAATATGATATACCATTTGAAAGAAAAATGTCAACTTCAAGAGAAAAAGTCAATTAGATTATCTAATAATTTATGTGATTGCAATTGTAGTTTGATGACAAAAGTAAAATATATTAAGAACTTAAAATTTTTAAATTAAGTCAACCATGAAGGATGTTTACAAAGCTTCATAGATGTAACCTATTAAATCAAGACAATTTTTAATTTAATCAATACAATTAAGCCTACTTATTAAAGATGGCTTTTATTAATTGATTTTTGTGGTGGAGTGAACGGAGATATTAAATAATAAGAATTTCTAGGCCGGGCGCGGTGGCTCATGCCTGTAATCCCAGCACTTTGGGAGGCCGAGGCGGGCAGATCACAAGGTTAGGAGATCGAGACCATCCTGGCTAACATGGTGAAACCCCGTCTCTACTAAAAATACAAAAAATGAGCCAGGCATGGTGGCAGGCGCCTGTAGTCCCAGCTACTCAGGAGGCTGAGGCAGGAGAATGGCGTGAACCCGGGAGGAGGAGCTTGCAGTGAGCTGAGATCGCGCCACCGCACTCCAGCCTGGGCGACAGGAGACTCCGTCTCAAAAAAAAAAAAAGAATTTCTAGGCCAGGCGTGGTGGCTCATGCCTGTAATCCCAGCACTTTGGGAGGCCGAGGCAGGTGGATCATTTGAGGTCAGGAGTTTGAGACCAGCTTGGCCTACGTGGTGAAACCCCCTCTTTACTAAAAATACAAAAAGTAGCTGGGCGTGGTGGCATGTGCCTGCAATCCCAGCTACTCGGGAGGCTGAGGCAGGAGAATTGCTTGAACCGGGGAGGTGGAGGTTGCAGTGAGCCAAGATCGCACCACTGCACTCCAGCCTGGGCGACAGAGTGAGACTGTCTCAAAAAAAGAAAAAAAAAAAAGAAAGAAAAAGAATTTCAGACAGCAGTTCAAGGGCTAAAAAATCTTTAACATAGCTGCTAAAGTGAGAGAGGATTTGGCACCATGAACAATATAGTTGATTACATACGTCATAATATACAAACAATTTAATGGGGAAATTATCAGAAGCTTATACAAGGCTCTTTTGTCAAATCATGGCTAACATAGGCATATATCACTTAACCAATAATTACCACCTAAGAAATGCAAAAAATGTTTAAAAATCAATAAATAATTTGGAAATTGTTATAACTATTTAAGAAATTATTTATATTTCAACTGTGTCACTTGGTAAGTAGTTTTATAATCATTTAGTTAGGACAGAAAAATAGCATAATTGGGAAAATTTTATTTATATATTAATTTCCATTACCATACCAGCTGTCAACTATTTTGAATAGTACTCTTGATCTCACATATAGTTTGCTTGTAGTAAGTATTGATTGAATGGTGTTTGATATAAATGAATGAAGATGACAGTCAGGACACCCAGGACAAGTGAAAGCAGGGCTGAAGGAATGTAAGGGTTGCAGTATTTATTGTCTTTTAGCTGAAATATTTAGAAACAGAAAGGGTAAGCGCACAGAGGAATAGCATAGCAGAAATCATGTGACTTTCTCATGTTAACCCTTCCCCTTGTCCAGACCCTATTTGTCCATATGGGCATCTCCATATAGAGACAAGACTCAGAAGGTTGGATAGCTATACTTCTTTGCCTCTGTTTTCAGGAAGCCAAGTCCTCTGTTCGCTTTGGTTGCCACCACTAACTCGGCGGCTGGGCTGCCCATGTGTAGACAGATGTCTTGAAAATATCAAGTTCCCTAAGCAGCTTGAACTGCAGGGAGGCTCAGAGAGGGTAGATTTCCTGAGCTGCTGACTTACTGCGGGACTGACTCAGTAAGATTCCAGGCACTAGGCAGAGCTAGTTAGGAAAGGAAACGTTTCCTGTTTGCCTCTGTGGGGAAAAAGAACCTACTCTTTGGACAGAGTCACCTGGCTCTAACACCAGAAAGGAAAGCGAGGCGGTGCATCCTCCAGAACAGCAGTAGGCAGGGCCACGGAGCATCCCACAGCCACCAGTGGGGCTGTCCTGCTGTTCTTGCAGTAGTGCCCTGTCTCCCAGAATCTCCCCCTGGTGCTATCTCCACCCTGCCTGAAAGTAGTGAGGAGGATGATGGGGAGAGAGTCAGACAGGCTGGGGTTGGGAAGAGTGAGTGCCCTTGATTTTTCTCTTATCCAAATTCAACTTTCATTTTAGTTTTCCCTCCAATTCCTCAAAGCAAGCATCGCTACTCTTAATTTCTCATATGGAACTACTTAGGGGTGGCAAAAACCTCATGGGACTGGTGGGGCTTCCTGTGCTTTTAATTGAAATGGTTTCTTTGTGGGTTCCCAAAGCTAAATTGTCCTTGCTCACACTGGAAGGAAATAAAGAAAAATAAGTATGATTATTGTACCAAGTAGTGGGATTACAGGTGAGGTTTTTCTTGTTTATTAGAAAATTCTTGGCCAGGCGCGGTGGCTCATGACTGTAATCCCAGCACTTTGGGAGCCGGAGGTGGGCAGATCATGAGGACAGGAGATTGAGACCATCCTGGCTAACACGGTGAAACCTTGTCTCTACTAAAAATACAAAAAATTTTCTGGGCGTGGTGGCATGCACCTGTAATCCCAGCTACTCAGGAGGCTGAGGCAGGAGAATGGCATGAACCCAGGAGGCAGAGTTTGCAGTGAGCAGAGGTTGTGCCATTGCACTCCAGCCTGGGCGACAGTGCGAGACTGTGTCTCAAAAAAAAGAAAAGCAAGAAAATTCTTTTCTTGTTTTTATAGATGTGCAATAAAAACAATTGGGAGAAGAAAGAAGAGTTGACCTGGATTTTCATAATGCAAAGAAAATGGCACCCAAATTCCCACCACAAGGATTTACATGTATTATCCAATTCAATTCATTCAGAATTCCGTGCAGTCAGTCAGATAATTGTTATCCCAGCTTAACTGACAGATGTTAGGAATGAGACTTGAAAGTGCTCAGCCAGGCTGGGTGCGTTGGCTCACGCCTGTAATCCCAGCACTTTGGGAGGCCAAGGTGTGTGGATCACCTGAGGTCGGGAGTTCGAGACCAGCCTGACCAACATGGAGAAACCCCGTCTTTACTAAAGGTACAAAATCAGCCAGGGCGTGATGGCACATGCCTGTAATCCCAGCTACTCCGTAGGCTGAGGCAGGAGAATCGCTTGAATCCAGGAGGCGGAGGTTGCAGTGAGCCAAGATCATGCCACTGCACTCCAGCCTGGGAAACAAGAGCGAAACTCTGTCTCAAAAAAAAAAAAAAAAAAAAAAAAAGTGCTCAACCAGGATCTCATACCAAGTCTGTGGTGGAGTGCCAAGAGCCAAGATGTCCTCTGCAGAAAGAATCACTTGGTTTTTTTTTTTGTTTTTTTTGTTTTTGTATTTTTTGGTGGAGATGGGGTTTCCCCGTGTTGGCAGGGCTGGTCTCCAGCTCCTGACCGCGAGTGATCTGCCCACCTCGGCCTCCCGAGGTGCCGGGATTGCAGACGGAGTCTCGCTCACTCAGTGCTCAATCTTGCCCAGGCTGGAGTGCAGTGGCGTGATCTCGGCTCGCTACAGCCTCCACCTCCTAGCCGCCTGCCTTGGCCTCCCAAAGTGCCGAGATTGCAGCCTCTGCCCGGCCACCACCCCATCTAGGAAGTGAGGAGCGTCTCTGCCCGGCCGCCCATCGTCTGAGATGTGGGGAGCGCCTCTGCCCCGCCGCCCCGTCTGGGATGTGCGGAGCGCCTCTGTCCGGCGGCGACCCCGTCTGGGAACTGAGGAGTGTCTGTGCCCGACCGCCACCCCGTCTGGGAGGTGAGGGGCGTCTCTGCCGGGCCGCCCTGTCTGAGAAGTGAGGAGCCCCTCCGCCCGGCAGCCGCCCCGTCTGGGAAGTGAGGAGCGTCTCTGCCCGGCAGCCGCCCCGTCCAGGAGGTGGGGGGCAGCCCCCGCCCTGCCAGCCGCCCCGTTCGGGAGGTGGGGGGCGCCTCTGCCCGGCCAGTCTGGGAAGTGAGGAGCCCCTCTGCCCGGCCGCCACCCCGTCTGGGAGGTGTACCCAACAGCTCATTGAGAACGGGCCATGATGACGATGGCGGTTTTGTCGAATAGAAAAGGGGGAAATGTGGGGAAAAGAAAGAGAGATCAGATTGTTACTGTGTCTGTGTGGAAAGAGGTGGACATGGGAGACTCCATTTTGTTCTGTACTGGGAGAGGTTCTTCTGCCTTGGGATGCTGTTGATCTATAGCCTTACCCCCAACCCCGTGCTCTCTGAAACATGTGCTGTGTCCACTCAGGGTTAAATGGATTAAGGGCGGTGCAAGATGTGCTTTGTTAAACAGATGCTTGAAGGCAGCATCCTCATTAAGAGTCATCACCGCTCCCTAATCTCAAGTACCCAGGGACACAAACACTGCAGAAGGCCGCAGGGTCCTCTGCCTAGGAAAACCAGAGACCTTTGTTCACATGTTTATCTGCTGACCTTCCCTCCACTATTGTCCTATGACCCTGCTAAATCCCCCTCTCCGAGAAACACTCAAGAATGATCAATAAATACTAAAAAAAAAAAAAAAAAAAGAATCACGTGTACTGGTTGAAACAGCACCAATAAACAATTTAGGCTCTGAGTTGGACACAGTTTGGTAAATACATGTTCTACAATGTTCCATAGTCTTTCAGTGTCCCATGGGATATTTGTTCCCCCATAGAAAGCATAGGTAGAGGTCCTTTACATACCCTGCAGGGACGCTGATTTGCATGGGGAGGGCTGGCACACAGCCTCTGCTGGGTATGAACAGTACAAACCTCTGGAGGCTGTGCTCTGTTCAGGACTTGGAGCTGGTTGGGGACCTCCAATGCCCTGTGCTGACGGCTGGCCTGGGGGCTTCTCCTCACTAGGGTCTTCTCTCAGTCTCTCAAGGTGGGCACAGTCTCTCCTGGACACACAGGCAATGGGCTGGACAAGCATCTCTTTCCTCTAAGGCCCAGTCACCAGGTATTCCCTCCAGGGGACCGGGTTTGGAAATTTTCACTACATATAACAGCCCTTCTGTTGCCTCATATTTTCTAACTCTGGCGTGGTGGTTCCCAGTCTCTTTACCACTGAGGAAGCATAGGTGATTTCTTCCCTCCCTCTGTTTCAAAATGGTTTTAACTACCAAACAAAATCCTCTAAGTGATCATTTGCCTTTCTTTCTTTCTTCCTTTCTTCCTTTCTTTCCTTCTTTCCTTCTTTCCTTTCTTTCTTTCTCTCTCTCTTTCTTTCTTTCTCTCTCCTTCCTTCCTTCCTCCCTCCCTCCCTCTCTCTCTTTCTTTCTTTTCGAAGCGCAGTTTCGCTCTTCTTGCTCAGGCTGGAGTGCAATGGTGTGATCTTGGCTCACTGCACAACCTCAGCCTCCTGGGTTCAAGCGATTCTCCTGCCTCAGCCTCCTGAGTAGCTAGGATTACAGGCATGCGCCACCACGCCCAGCTAATTTTTTATTTTTAGTAGAGACAGGGTTTCTCCGTGTTGGTCAGGCTGGTCTTGAACTCCCAACCTCAGGTGATCAACCCGCCTCAGCCTCCCAAAGTGCTGGGATTACAGGCGTGAGCCACCGCGCCCAGGCTTCATTTGCTTTCTTATACTGTTCATCAAGATATATTTAAGGTCATCATGAAGACAAGGTTACATCATTTACAATATATGGAAGTAAGTCCCAGCCCCCGTTAAGATCCTAGTCTGGGCTAGCTGGCTGAGAGGGGCTGTTAAAACTCTAGTAATAGGAATAGCTGTCTCCCTGTCATTCTGCTGCTATGGCAGATGCTTTTTTCCTCTAGGACCACTGACTTCTGGAGATCTATGATTCATAACCTTGTGGCTAGAAATGAGATGTCAAAAGAGGACAAGATCACTCGGGTTCCTCCTTCCCTTGGGTTCCCTCTCCTGGGCCAATTAAGAACAGGCACATGGAGAAAAGAACCCAGAATTATCCCATAATCACACAAAGATCTGTTCACATACAATGGCCCAAGGAGGCAGGGCCTGCCCATGAGTCACCATTATCTACATAATGCAGCCTAACTATCCTGTTTTGCTTTTAGCTATTCAAGACTTTTCCGACCATGGGGAAGTCCCATGGCATGGGCTGTTTTCCCAACAGTATCTTGACTGAATCACTGAGTGTCATGCCAGAGGAGTGGGACCTGGTTGACCCCTCTTCCCTGGTGTCCAGGTGCCCAGGAACCCCTATGTGGTAGTGGGATCCAGATCTAAGAAAGCACAGCTCTTGTGTGGCCTCATGGGGAGTACATGCCTCACTGGGCTGGTTCTAAATTGTTCCAGGGTCAAGCCAGGAGGCATAAAGAACCTGCTCTTTCATCTTCCAACATTTTTTTTTGGTAATAACCCAATTCCCTGATTAAAACATCTACAGTGGTGTCTTACATTTTTCAAAGCATAACTCAAACATTTTTTCCTTTAGAAAAACCTAAGTCTCCTAAAACAGGGGTTCCCAAGCCCTGGGCCATGGACTGGTACCGGTCCATGGCCTGTTAGGAACTGGGCTGCACAGCAGGAGGTGAGTGGCAGGTGACCAAGCATTAGCGCCTGAGCTCTGCCTCCTGTCAGATCAGCAGTGGGGTTAGATTCTCATAGGAGTGTGAATCTTATTGTGAACTGTGCATGCGAGGGATCTAGGTTGCTCGCTCCTATGAGAATCTAATGCCTGATGACCTGTCAGTGTCTCCCATCACCCTCAGATGGGACTGTCTAGTTGCAGGAAAACAAGCTCAGGGCTCCTACTGACTCTACATTATGGTGAGTTGTATAATTATTTCATTATGTATTATAATGTAATAATAGAAATAAAGTCCACAATACAGGTAACGCGCTTGAATCATCCCAAAACCACCCCTCCGAAAAATTGTCTTCCATGAAACCGGTCCCTGATGCCAAAAATGTTGGGAACCACTGTCCTAGAAAACATAGTTTCCTCCTTGACTTTTGGCATTTTGTACGTTTCTTTCAGCGCTAACCACAATAGTTATCTTCAAGTCTGTTTATTCATTGTTACTAAATCTTAGATTCCTTCAGCGCAGGAACCTTTCTCGCCCCCTAGTCCCACCCTGGACCTCACAACATTCTTTGAACACAGGAAGGGTTCGATAAATATTTGTTAAAGATCCCTTGGAGTCTGGCTTAAAAAGATTTAAGATCTAAAACTGAGGAAGGCAGATCTTTGAGGTGAGGCAAACATAGCCTGCCGATATGGCAGGAAGTAGAAATGGGCAGACCAAGTAGAGAAGGAAAATAGTTCATCTTTCTGGGACACTAATAAGGAGTAGTATATAGGAGTGGGATAAAAAGTAGGATATAGGAGTCCAAATTTCCATCAAATCTATAGATTGATTTTCTTTGCATTAATTAAGACTTCTGGTGGAACGTGGTGGCTCATGCCTATAATCCCAGCACTTTGGGAGGCCAAGGTGGGTGGATCACCTGAGATCAGGAGTTCGAGACCAGCTGGCCAACATGATGAAACTCTGTCTCTACTAAAAATACAAAAATTAGCTGGGCGTGGTAGCAGGCGCCTGTAATCCCAGCTACTTGGGAGGCTGAAGCAGGAGAATCACTTAAACCTGGGAGGCCAAGTTTGCAGTGAGCCAAGGTCATGCCATTGCACTCTAGCCTGGGTGACAAGAGTGAAACTCAGTCTCAAAAAAAAAAAAAAAAAAAAGACTTATTTGTTGTTGCTAAAATGCAAAGATTCTGGGCTTATGAAGAAACTAATACTCCAGTAGGAATGCTTGAAATAAAAATATCTACCACTAACTGAAACCTAAGTATCAGGTTGCCCATCTTGTGTTGCTGTAATATAATACGCAGACTGAGTAATTTATAAAGCAAAGCAGCCTATTTCATGGTTCTGGAGGATAAGAAGTCTAATATCAAGATCCCGGCATTTGGTGAGTCTTTTTGCTGTATCATCTCTTGGTAAAGGCAAGTGGGTGAGTGAGGGCAAGAGGTTGAACTTGCCTCAACCTCAAGCCCTTTTATAATCAGTATTAATCCATTCATAAAGTTGGAACCTCCATGGCCAGCCAGCCATTAGGATTCACTTCCCGATATGGTTGCATTGTGGATTCAGTTTCCAACACACGCTTTTTGGAGGACACATTCAAACCACAGTACAGGTACTTTATATTAGCTTTATAATGACTCTCCCAAGAAAACAGTGCCACGTACAAGATGAGGAACTGGAGCTCAGACAGGTGAAGCCCCACCGCGTGTCACACAGGAAGAAATGGCAAAGTAAAAATTCACACCCAGGACTCCCTGGGCTTTCTCACCGCACATGTTGCCTTCTTACTGGATATCACCTGACAGAATGAGACTCAGGTGATTACAGGGATTCACCAGGAAAACGGGAAAGTCGGCATGACCAGAACTAGAACACGGGCCAGTGAATGCAGTTCTGGGTGGACCATGGCATTGGAAGCCAAAGGATAGCTTGAATGTGGTTAAAAAATTAAAACAACAAGGCACAAAACGCACAAATGAAATACAAATGATGCTCAAACACAGCTTTTATTTTACTTCAAAGTTTACCTCAGATCAGCCTGGGAAGGTGAGGGGAATGAAGCAGATGCTGTTAAAGGGTCATGGGAGAGAAAAGGTATCTGTGGGAAGAGAATAATCTCTTTTGACTTCGTGTGCTGCCTCACGGACACACTGGAGCAGGGATTGGGCCCCCAAGGCCTCAGGTAGCCCCGTGCCTGTGGCTTTGCTGGGTGCAGCCTACGTGGCTGCTCGAATGGGTTGCAGGCTGGTGCCTAAAGCTTTCCCAAGGGGGCGCTGCATGCTGCCACTGACTCCACAGTTCTGGGGTCCTGGTGGTGGTCAGGTCCTGCTCCCAGCGCTCCACAAGGCACTCTCTCCTGTGGCCTGGATCCACTAGACACTAGACATTTCCCTGGTGGGGGCCCTCTGTGGCAGCTGCACCTCACATTTCCACTTAGCATCACTCTAGTGGAGGCTCTCTGTGGGCTGGGCATGCTAGCTCAGTTCTCTTTTCCTCTTCTTATAAAGCCACCAGTCCCATTCCTGTGATAACCCATTAATCCATTAACCCATGAATGAAGGCACAGCCTTACGATCCAATCACATCTCAAAGGCCCCACCTTTCAGTATTGCCACATTAGGGATTAAGTCTCAACATGAGTGTTGGAGGGAACATTCAAACCACAGCAGTATGAAAACAATATTCAACTCCAAGGTATATGGTCAAGATTACAGGTGGTAAGGAATAGGCTAGAGAATAGGAATAGGCTAAATTTGCTAGAGATGTGCTGTGGAATTATCTGTATTTCTAGCTATGATCTTAGCTTCCTCAAGTCCATTTCATTGCAAGAATATGAAAAATTAAATTGAGATCCAGGTTCTTTTTTTATTTTTTAATTTTTATTTTTTGAGATGGCGTTTCACCCTGTCACCCAGGCTGGAGTGCAGTCGCACAATCCTGGCTCACTGCAACCTCCGCCTCCCGGGTTGACGCCATTCTCCTGCCTCCGCCTCCTGAGTAGCTGGGACTACAGGCCCGTGCCTCTGCGCCCAGCTAATTTTTTGTATTTTTTAGTAGAGACGGGGTTTCACCGTGTTAGCCAGGATGGTTTCGATCTCCTGACCTCGTGATCTGCCCTCCTCGGCCTCCCTAAGTGCTGGGATTACAGGCATGAGCTGCCGCACTCTGCCCAGGTTCTTATTTTTAATAGAAAAGAGAACAGGGAAGGAACACAGGTCAGTGTGAGGAAGGGGGTCATGGTAGACACAGAGGTGGACTGTTTCTCTACCTCCTCACATTGTGCTAACAGGGACACAGACAGATTCAGAGGCCCTTGCAAAAAGAGAAGCCAGAGTCCCCTAAGACACATAGGGGAGGCGTGAGGAAATCCTGCATCTCAGTCGCACACAAGGCAGCTGTGCATCTCAGTCGCACACAAGGCAGCTGTCTCAGGCTACAGAAGAAAATAGTCATGAACAAATTCAGGTCAGTCACGGTAAGTGATGACACTCTGAACAGCCCACCACACACTCAAAAATTCTGAATCAAAAAATCCCCACAACCCAGTCCTGTCCCCTCTGCCCCACCCTCCACCCACTTCAGACCCCCAGAATCTCACCTTTACAAGCTGTGAGACTCAGACCCCTGGGCACTGTCGCTCCCTGGGGTAGAACAAAAACAAGACCTGGTCAGAGCCCACAGGAGATGTGGTGCAGGAGGAATTATAGGGTGGGCGAGCTCCTCCACGCTCCCGCCCCGCACTTACACTCAGCCTTAGAGTAGCTCCCTCCTTTTCCACCTGTTGGAAGAAAATGTCCTGTGAGGGGCCAGGGAGGAGGCAGGGCCATAAGGTCCTAGAGGAACCTCCTAGTTTTGGATCCCAGAGAAGTTTCCTGAACTGTGACTGCAGACCCAGGGCAGGATCAGGAAACGTGAAGAAAGCAGGTGTGGGTCCTGGATCAACTGCCCTTCTGAGGTCTGTCTTCAGCAGGGACCTTCCCCTGTGACCTGTGACTGCTGGGATCAGGTCCCCATCACCACAATCGTCAAGGTGATAAATCTGTCCTTCATTGTCACAGGTGCTTTACAAAAGAGTAGGTGCGGCTGGGTGCGGTGGCTCACGACTGTAATCCCAGCACTTTGGGAGGCCGAGGCAGGCAGATCACAAAGTCAGGAGTTCGAGACCAGCCTGGCCAACATAGTGAAACCCCATCTCCACTAAAAATACAAAAAAAAAAATTAGCCAGGTGTGGTGGCACGCATGTGTAGTCCCAGCTACTAGGGAGGCTGAGGCAGGAGAATTGCTTGAACCTGGGAGGCGGAGGTTGCAGTGAGCTGAAACCACGCCATTGCACTCCAGCCTGGGTGACAGAGCCAAGACTCCGTCTCAAAAAAAAAGAGTAGGTGCTGGCACACAGGGCCCCAGGCTGGGTAGGCTCGTGTGTGTGGATGGTGCTTCCCAGTAACGAGGCAGGACACACTTTTACCTAGGGCTTGAAACACCCAGTGGGACAAGAAAACTCAGACCCCACCCTTCTCCCTTCCCCACCTGAGCTCTTCTTCCTCCATATCACAGCAGCAACCACAGCTCCAGAGACCACAGATCCAAGGAGAACCAGGCCAGCAATGATGCCCACGATGGGGATGGTGGGCTGGGAAGCCGGCTCTGGGAAAAGAGGGGAACGTAAGGGGCCCTGACCCCCAGGCCTCAGCCCTGACCCTGCGGAAGGGCTCCAGAAGGGCTCCCGCTTTCCCTGAGAAGAGACATGACCTCCCATCCCCCTCCTTACTCCATCTCAGGGTGACGGGCTCGGGTAGCCCCTCATGCTGCACATGGCACGTGTATCTCTGCTCCTCTCCAGAAGGCACCACCACAGCTGCCCACTTCTGGAAGGTTCCATCCCCTGCAGGCCTGGTCTCCACGAGCTCCGTGTCCTGGGTATGGCCCTCCCCATCCTGCTGCCAGGTCAGTGTGATCTCCGCAGGGTAGAAGCCCAGGGCCCAGCACCTCAGGGTGGCCTCATGGTCAGAGATGGGGTGGTGAGTCACGTGTGTCTTTGGGGGCTCTGAGGGGAAGAGTCAGAAAATTCAGGCACTTTGTATCTCTCATGGGACACTCCAGCAGCACCCATGTGACCATCCTGAGAAGGAAGAGGACAATTATAGTAGGAGAAGAGGACAAAACCTTGACACCAGCCTGGACTTAGGGATCTGGGATAGCCTCTTATTCCTTGGAAAGTTCTAGAATCGGGATGAGCTAGCCCAGGGTAGAAGGTGAAAAGGGATTTCTGGTCCTGGCCTGTGTGGATGCTGAGTGACTGAGAAAAGCTGGAGTCAGACCTCCAAAAACTCTTGGTGTGGGGCTGAGAATCAGGCACGAGAGAAACTCCCCCGTGATTCCTAATACTGGGAGTCAAAGAGAACTGCTCATCAGTTCATCTGAAGGATGGAATCTCCAGCGAGACTAGATTCCTTAATTGCCCCTGAGAGAGGTCTGGCCCTTTAAGAGAGTCACTCTGTGGTATAGGATCTCCTGTACCTCAGGTGACAGCTCCCTCTCCTGATCCAAGGGAGGAGTGGTATTCTGGCCTCCATCCCTGTTTCTTCTACTGTTTGAGGTCTGTCAGCTGTGGGCACAGTCCTAGCCCAAGAAGGAGATGGGAGAGTAGCCCTGTGGACCCTCTTACCCAGGTGAAGCAGCGTCTCCTTCCCCTTCTCCAGGTATTTGTGGAGCCACTCCACGCATGTGTCTTCCAGGTAGGCTCTCTGGTGCTCCGCCTCAGAGGCATCATTTGACTTTTGCTCGGAGATCTGAGCCGCCGTGTCCACCGCGGTCCAGGAGCGCAGGTCCTCATTCAGGGTGAGATAATCCTTGCCGTCGTAGGCGAACTGTTCATACCCGCGGAGGAAGCGCCTGTCGGGCCCCAGCTCGCAGCCATGCATCCACTGCAGGGTGTGAGACCCTGGCCCCGCCCCTTAGTCAGTCCCGCCCACCAAGCCCCGCCCCCGTCGCCACCACCCTGTGGGCATTTTGGCCTAAACTGAAAAAGAACCGGGTAAAGGCGCCTGAGACTCTCCCCGGTCTAGGGTCTGGGCGGGTTCCGCAGCCTTGGGGTGAATCTGGGACCCGAAGATTCGAGGGGACCCGCGCCGTCCGTGGGGGATGGGGAGGGGTCGTGACCTGCTCCCCTGGCCGGGGTCACTCACCGGCCTCGCTCTGATTGTAGTAGCCGCGCAGCGTCCGCAGGTTCACTCGGAAAATCTGTGCGGTGTCCCTGGCGCTCCGTGTCTCCCGGTCCCAATACTCTGACCCCTCCTGCTCCATCCACGGCGCCCGCGGCACCATCCTCGGACTCGCGGCGTCGTTGTCGAAGCGCACGAACTGGGTGTCGTCCACGTAGCCCACAGAGATGAAGCGGGGCTCCCCGCGGCCGGGCCGGGACACGGAAGTGTGGAAATACTTCAAGGAGTGGGAGCCTGGGGGCGAGGAGGGGCTGAGATCGGCCCGACCCTCCTCCCGGCGCGGCTCCCCGAGTCCTTCGCCCCCGCCGGGCCGGCCCCTCTCTACTCCCGGTAGAGGCCGTTTCCATCCCGACCCCGCACTCACCCGCCCAGGTCTGGGTAAGGGCCAGGGCCTCCGAGAGGAGTAAAAGGAGGGTTCCATCTACCATGATCCCAGCCTCTGAGTCCTGAGAACTTCTTGAGTCCGGATGGGGACTTTATAGTCGGGAGTCGTGGCGACGCTGATTGGCTTCTCTAGAAACCCGACACCCATTGGGAATGAGAACTGAGTCTGCGTCATGAGTATCCAGGAAGAAGGACACATGACCAGGTTACGAGAGGAACGGGAAACTGCAGAGTTTCCCAGCAATCAGCAGTTCTTAAACTTTTAGGTTTCGGTATCTCTGCACACTCTTAGAAATTAGTCCTGGCTGGGCGCGGTGGCTCACGCCTGTAATCTCAGCACTTTGGGAGGCCAAGGCGGGCTGATCACCTGAGGTTGGGAGTTCGAGACCAGCCCGACCAATATGGAGAAACCCTGTCTCTACTAAAAGTCCAAAAAATTAGCCGGCGTGGTGGCGCATGGCTGTAATCCTGGCTACTTGGGAGGCTGAGGCAGGAGAATCACTTGAACCCAGGAGGAGGAGGTTGCGGTGAGCCAAGATCGTGCCATTGCCCTCCAGCCTGGGCAACAAGAAAAAAGAAATTAGTGAGGACCCAAATAAATTTTGTTTCTGTGGATTGTATCAATTTTTATCATATATAAATTAAAAGATATTAAAACAAAATATTAAAAATATTAATTCATTTAAGAGAATATTAATAACCCATTACATGTTAATAGAAACAACTTTTTTTTTTTTTTGAGTCAGAGTCTTGCTCTGTCCCCAGGCTGGAGTGCAGTGGCATGATCTCGGCTCACTGCAACCTCCTTCTCCCGGGTTCAAGCGATTCTCCTGCCTCAGCCTCCCCAGTAACTGGAACTACAGGCGTGTGCCACCACACCCAGCTAATTTTTGTGTTTTTAGTAGAGACGGGGTTTCACCATGTTGGCCAGGATGGTCTTGATCTCTTGATCGGAAATAACATATCTTTAATGAAAAAAAACTTAATTTTTAATTTTTCCAAAATAAACAACGTATAGGCCGGGAACGGTGGCTCACGCCTGTAATCGCAGCATTTTGGTAGGCCGAGGCAGGCAGATCACGAGGTCAGGAGTTCAAGACTAACCTGGCCAACATGATGAAACCCTGTCTCTACTAACAATACAAAAATTAGCCGGGTGTGGTGGTGCGCGCCTGTAATTCCAGCAACTCTGGAGGCTGAGATAGGAGAATTGCTTGAACCCGAGAGGTGGTGGTTGCAGTGAGCCGAGATCACACCACTGCACTCCAGCCTGGGCGACAGAGTGAGATGTCTAGGGGGAAAAAACAAGAAACAAAAAACAAAAACAAAAACAAAAAAACAGGATCTGCTTCAAGAAGTTGCCTTTGTAGTCAAACCAGCTGAGACTCGTTACAACCAAGAGAGCCGGCCAAATGACTTCAAAAAGACCTCATGCTTCATTGTAATCCCGTTTCCAGGCTAAATTGCGCTCCCATCCATGCCATGACAGTTGACGATCTCCATGACGATGAGTAGAAGAAGTCCTAAAAGGACCAAAAGGAAAGCGGTATTACCAGTTTGGAGAAGTTCACTGCCTGTTCCCATAAAACATATGAATATTCCTCCCCCTCACTTTTAATGCCCAACCCCTTCATTAGAGCAATCCTACATTTTAGCCCCCTCACCCCTCACTAGCCGCCTCACTAGTGGAGAAGTTGACTTGGCAGAGCTGCTCTCCTCTTTACAAGTCCTGTGCAGGAAATAAAGCTTGCTCTGCTTAAGGCTCACTTTTGGTTTCATGTATTGGCTCTGCGACTCCCAGTGAGGAAAGATCCCACCTTCTGCAGCTACCAAGATTTTTGGTAACAAGAAGAGTGATTATTTTTCATTTTCATAAGTGTTGTTCTTGCAAAATTTTGCAAGCATCATTCTTGGCTCATAGCATACATTCTCTTATGTACTTATTTTTAAATTTTTAACTTTTATTTTAGATACAGGGGGTGGCCAGGCGCGGTGGCTCACGCCTGTAATCCCAGTCGGGAGTTCGAGACCAGCCTTATCAATATGGAGAAACCCCATGTCTACTAAAAATACAAAATTAGCTGGAGGTGGTGGCGCATACCTGTAATCCCAGCTACTCAGGAGGCTGAGGCAGGAGAATCGCTTGAACCCGGGAGGCAGAGGTTGCGATGAGCCGAGATCACGCCATTGCGCTCCAGCCTGAGCAACAAGAGTGAAATTGTCTCAAAAAAAAAAAAAAAACCAGAAAAAAATAGATACAGGGGTTACATGTGCCGGTTTGTTACATGGGTATGTTGTCTGATGCTGAGGTTTGGGGTATGGATCCTGTCACTCAGGTAGTGAACATAGTACCCACAGGTAGTTTTTCAACCCACGTCCCCACCCTCTCCACTCTAGTCATCTACAGTGTCTGTTATACACATGTTTATGTCTATGTGTGCTCAGTGTTTAGCTCCCAATTATAAGTGAGAAGATGCAGTATTTGGTTTTCTGTTCCTGCATTAATTCACTTAGGATTATGGCCTCCAGCTGCATCCCAGCCATTTTCTTACTTTGATTGAAGTGTATATGTTAAAAAATCTAGCCTTACACAAATATTGAGTTGAAAAAGGAAGGATTTTTTGTTTTTAGATATTTGAAATACAACTTTATTCTGATTCTAAACGAAAAGGAATGGGAATGACAGTAACAAACAAGATTTCACCGCTGAATATTGTGATGTGACTGTAGCAGTCTATATTTGAAACTCAAGGAATCAACTGTGTTCCAAAACAGCTAAATATGCAGGTCCAAACAATGAAGGTATTTTTTGAACTGCCACATTCACTGCGAAGCCCACTCATCTCCTTCAGCATCCCACAGATGAAGCACATGTTCCGCTTAGCTAGATAATAATGAGGTGGCACACACGCTGCACAACTGACATCACAGGACAGCTGCCTATAAAACTAGACTTCTGACGCTGGGCTCCAGCTTCATTCTCACAGGTCATCATCCTCGTCCGGGAGAGCAGTTGTCTGAGCAACCTCTAAGTCGTGCTCATACTGTGCTGCCAAAGCTGGGTCCATGACAACTTCTGGTGGGGCGAGAGCAGGCATGGCAACAAATTCCAAGTTAGGGTCTCCAATGAGCTTCCTAGCAAGCCAGAGGAAGGGCTTTTCAAAGTTATAGTTACTTTTGGCAGAAATGTCGTAGTACTGAAGATTCTTCTTTCGGTGGAAGACAATGGATTTCGCCTTCACTTTCCTGTCCTTAATATCCACTTTGTTGCCACTCAACACAGTGGGGGTGTTTTCACACACTCATACCAGATCTCTATGCCAGTTAGGCACATTCTTGTAAGTAACTCTCGATGTTACATCAAACACTATGATGGTACTCTGGGCTTGGATATAATAGCCATCTCTCAGTCCACTGAATTTCTCCAGGCCGGCTGTGTCCCATACATTGAACTTAACAGGTCCTCTGTTGGTATGGAACACTAGGGGATGAACCTCAACACCCAAGGTGGCTACATACTTCTTCTCAAATTCACCAGTCAAATGATGTTTCATGAAAGTCGTTTTTCCAGTACCACCATCACCAACCAATACAAGTTTGAACTGGACCTGGGGCTGTCCCTGCGCAGCCATTGCGGTGTTCCTTCCAGAAGCGTCTCCATGCCCGTCTGACTCAGGAAGGAAGGATTATTATTGCTGTTGTTTAGAGACAGGGTCTCGCTCTGTCACCCAGGCTGGAGTGCAGTGGCACCATAATAGCTCACTGCAGCCTAGAACTCCTGGGCTCAAGGGATTCTCTCACCTCAGCCTTCCCAGTAGCTGGAACAACATGTGTGAGCTACCATGCCCGGACTGGGAGGATTATTTTTAACAGCTTTTCATGTAATTGTGGATATTCATATTTCACATTACATAAAAACTGTGCAAGTGGTGATTTCTTTTTTTTTGAAAGCAAATAATCCATTTTTAATCCTTTTAAATTTTATTTATTTAAAACATTTTTAAATTTCAATAGTTTTGGGGGAACAGGTGGTGTTTGTTTACATGGATAAGTTCTTTAGTGGTGATTTCCAAGATTTTGGCGCATCCAGCACCTGATTAGTGTACACTGTACACAATGTGTAGTCTTGTATCCCTCAGCTCCCTCCCACCCTTCCCCCGCCAGTTCCCAAAGTCCATTGTATCATTCTTAAGCCTTTGTGTTCTCATAGCTTAGCTCCCATTTATAAGTGAGAACATACAATGCTTGGTTTTCCATTCCGGAGTTAATTCACTCAGAATAATGGTCTCCAGCTCCATCCAGGTTGCTTTGAATGCCATTATTTCCTTTCTTTTTATGACTGTGTAGTATTCCATTATATATCTATATATCTATATATAGATATAGATATATATAGATATAGATATATATAAAATTACATTTTCTTTATCCATTCATTGATTGATGGGCATTTGGGCTGGTTCCATATTTTTGCAATCACCAATTGTGCTGCTATCAATATGCTTGTTCAAGTATCTTCTTCTTTTTTCTTTTCTTTTCTTTTCTTTTTTTTTTTTTTTGAGACGGAGTCTCGCTCTGTCACCCAGGCTGGAGTGCAGTGGCGTGATCTCGGCTCACTGCCACCTCCACCTCCTGGTTGACGCCATTCTCCTGCCTCAGCCTCCTGAGTAGCTGGGACCACAGGCACCTGCCACCACGCCCGGCTAATTTTTTGTATTTTTAGTAAAGACGGGGTTTCATCGTGTTAGCCAGGATGGTCTCGATCTCCTGACCTCGTGATCTGCCTGCCTCAGCCTCCCAAAGTGCTGGGATTACAGGCGTGAGCTATGGTGCCCGGCCATTAAGGGGATAAGTTTTAACAGTCCAGGTTCAAGGGTAGTGGAAGCTGAGGAATTGGAGGGAAAGGTAATTCAGCCAAAGGTGGATACAGAAGAACAGAGGAAAGAGAACAGGAAATCTCTCCTCTGGAGAGGAAAGAATCTGGGGCCCTAAAGCCTTGTTGTCCTTCCTTAACTGTTTGCTGGTCTCAGTTAATTTTGTGATAGAATCTTAGAGGGAGGCAATGTTTGAATCCCGAATGCATTATGAAACTTTGAAGTACCAAGTAAACTAAGCCTCCCATTCACATTGTTTAATTTTAGGACCATGGTCTTCTAGTTTTGTTTTAAGGAAGACAAGTTTGGGGAACTCAAAAGGCCCCAAGGATGGCCATTGAAGATCCAAATTAACTTTGGCGTACTCTACCCATTGATTTCAAAACGTACACAGGAGAGGACCTTAATTTTTTTTTCTTTCCTTATTTATTTTAATTTTTAAAAATAGAGATGAGCTCTTGCTATGTTGCCCAGGATGGTTTCAAACTCATGAGCTCAAGTGATCCTTCCACCTTGGTCTCCCAAGGTGCTGGGATTATAGGCATGAGCCACCGACCATAAATTTTGACCATATAGCTGACAGGAGTCCCAGAAGACGGCCTATATTGGATGCTTTGGAATTTTGGCATCCTGTTCTGCCTCTTATTAATTTCTCGACAGCAAAAGAAAAATTCCATAATCCCTGTGAGGAAATGGTAGAGGCTGGAGCGATTTGTTTTTTAATAGTGTGCCTAGTATAGGATTTTTGTTTTTACTTAGTGGGCAGCCTGTGATCTAATTGTCCATCCTGTGACCATTTTCTCCAGATTTTTCTTGAGACTGGTGCGACCCCTAATGGCAATTTTGTTTATTCATGTACCAGTTTATCCTGACAACAGATAATTTCTCTTTGGGGAGACTGAAGTTTCTCATTGAATGGCGACAATAGCCCAAACAGCTTTTAAAGGGTCGACACATACTCATCTTTTTAGAAAGTAAATTTTGCTCTCAAAAGATGTTCAGAAACAGAGGCAAGAAATCAAGCAATGAACTCAGCATAAGTCTCTTCCAAAGGTAATCTTTCTTCAGGATCACTTCTGATACCAGATTTTTCAACCTAAAAAAAAAAAGACATTAAAGAAATGTCCAAATATGTTGAGTTTATTTGGGAATTAGAATGAGGATTGTAACCTGGGGTGCACTGGTGGATTGCCACTCTGGGAAATATTAGCTTAGCCAGATGTAGTGGGTTGAATGGTTGTCCCCACAAAGATATGTTTCTGTCCTAGTCCCCAGAAGCTGTGAATTTCAAGTTGTTTGGAAAAAAAGGGTCTTTGCAGATGTAATTAAGCTGAGGATATTGAAATGAGGAGATCCTCCTGGATGACCTAGGTGGGCCCTAAATCCAATGAAAAGTGTCTTCCTAACAGGTACACAGAAGAGAGAGTCAGAAGAGGAGAAGGCAATGTGAAGAAGGAGGCAGAGACTGGAGCAATGGGGCTACAAGCCAAAGAACGCTGACCAATGCCCTGGGCCTCCAGAACTGTGAAAGAATAATTTTCTGTTGTTGTAAGTTGCCAACTTTGAGGGCATTTTTGTGGCAGCTACAGGAAGTAAAAATATGGATGGTCAACTTCAACATCAACAGTGGTACATCAAATTGATATAATCTTGATAATGTGTTTGGAGAACAGCACTTCACCTCATCTAAACATCCATAACCATAGTCTAACCATGATCTACACCCCAACTAAATTCAGTTTGAGGGATATTTTACAATATATCTGGTCAGTACTTCCCGATATTGTGAAAGGCATCAAAAATTAGGAAAATCTCAGGAATTGTCACAGACCAGAGGATGCCGTGGAGGCACGACAGAGACTAAATGTAGTGTGATATTCTCCATGGAATCCTGAAACACAGAAAGGACATTAGGGGAACGCTAATGAACTCCAAATAAAGTCTGCAGTTTAGTAATAATAAGGTATGAAAATGGCTTCATTAGCTGTGACAAATGGACCATAGTAATGAGAGATGTTAACATCAGGGGAAACTGACTGTGGAGCGGATGGCAACTCTGTACTACCATTGCAACTTTTATGTAAATTTAAAACTCTTCTAAAATAAAATTATCTAAAAGTAGCAGTCAGGAAAGGATTAAGGAGTGGAAGAAAAAAATGATCAACTTTCCATTTTCCTGGAGTGTTGCCATGAAAAGGCTGGAGGGAGGGTTTGCAAGGAGGAGTTGGAAACCTCAGAGACAGGCAGCTCCAGAGCCCTCCTCTGTTCCGCAGAGCCGGAACCCCGCGCAGTCCAGGGCTTCTCAGAAGGCCTTTCCACCCCCTGGACAACCCCAGCCCCACCTCATTGATACATCCTTTCTGGATCAACAATCTGTGTCTTACTCAGACCACCGCCCCGTCCTCTCCAGAGCAGCTCATCAGAACCCAAGCGTAGAGCGGCAGCGGCCCCGTGTGGCCGAAGGACTGAGGAGAGACACCCAGCTCTCCTGTCCCTTCCCCATCTGGGACCTCCCCAGGTTCCCCTTCGGATCTCGGCAGAACAGGGCTCTGTGCACATGCGGGCGACCCCGTCCCGCGACAGGTGTTTCCTCCCAGTTAGTGGCAGTGGACTCTGACCTCAAGGCAGAGGGAGGTCTGCAGGCCCTAAGACCTGGTTCCCAGGTCTGGGTGGACCCCACAGACATACTGTGCTCCCAGTACGCAGCCTCTCAGTGTTTTTGGAATGAGGCCTTGGACTCCTGAGTCCCTGAAATTTGTTCTGCTGCTTCCAGAGAGGAAGATCCCTCCTCCCCGGAATCCCCTAGATGAGTCTCCAGCCCCAGCACGTTGGGACCCGGGAAGGACATGGCATCGGAGCTGGAGACTATATTGGGTTACAAGGATTTCTGGAATCAGACTGGGCTGAGCATTTGTCCCCAATCCATCGGGAACCCGAGGGCGGTTCCTCCGCCACTACCCGGACCTCCAGGACCCAGGCATCTGAACCTATACCCTATTGGATCCTGGAGGGCGGCCCCTCCCCAGCCTTGAGAGTCCAGGATTCTGGCCCCACCCGAACCCTGAGAGTCCAGGACCCTGGCATCCGGCCTCTTCTTCCCATTTGCAACCTAAGCAGACAGGACCTGCTGTCTATATCCCTTAATCCTGGCCCCCTGCCATCTCCAATCCCTGCTTAAAGGTCCTTGATTCTGGACTCAAATCTAATTTCTGGTCTTGTCGATTGTCCATGACGGTCGCCCACCAGGAGAGGCTCCCCAGCGCGAAACGTGCTGCAGCTGAGCGACAGCGGCGGATTTTGGCGCTTTGGCCCAGACTCCCTGCCCGAAGCGCCCCGGGACTCCGCCCTGGAGACTGCGCCCTGGAGGCTCCGTAGGGGTCTGTCTTCCTCTGCGGCAGGAGGGGGCGCACGGGGATTTCTGCCACTGAGGCTGCGCTCACCACCCTGGGTAAGCCTCTCCCCACCGCTCCCCTGTGGACCTCAAAAATCATATATTGGGAAAATACCGACCTGTCAGCCCCAGACTCAACTTTAAGAGGTTCTGGTCTCTAGATTTATTCAGCCCCTAACTGTTGGTTGAGCATCTACTTTTCGTCAGGCGCTATTCTAGGCGCTTGGGTCAAATCCAAACAGGCACAAATCATGGCTCTCAAGGAATTTACCTTCGGTTGAAAGACGTGGCCAATAAAAAGTCACTGAAGTCAACTACAGGGGTGTCCGAAAATAAAGGATGATTAAGAGAAAAGCAAGGCACGGAAGATGAAAGGAGCCAGGTGCAATTTGAAGTTATTATCATGAGAGTGAGATTTCCCGAGAGGTGCCATGCGAGCTGAGTCCTGAAGCAGATGAAGGAGGAAGCCCTGGGTTATTGGGAGGAAGGGTGTTCTAGAATCACCCTCTGCAGACGTGTGGCTCCGCCGGGGAAAGCACCCAGGCTGCGGCAGGAATGGGGCTGGGTAGGTTTCAGAAGGACTTCCTGAGGCTGGTTGCGGAGATCAGGGTTTGTGTTATCTCCTGACCACTTCCCACCAGTGCCTGGCACTTCATGAAACCCCGAGCTTGCCGGCAGGGTGAGTTGCCTGGTGTGTGGAGGAAGGCTGGGAGAGGAGGAGGCTAAGGTGGGTGCCAGCCTCGACTGTGTCTCTGTACTCTTTCTTTCCGGGACCCAGAGTTGGAAATGTAAGTGGTACTGATGTCTTCTGCAAATCCTAGAATCCCCGGAACTGGAAGAAATCTTGACATGGCAGGATGTAAAATTAAGGAATTTCTAAGCCCTGGAGGCTCTAAGGAATAATTTCAAGAAAGACTAAGTATGAGAAAAAAATGTTAAATATGCCAATAATCTTTTATACTGATTCCATGCTAAAATTATATTTTGGATGTATTGGGTTAAATAAAACATTGTTAAAAATAATTTCATTGATTACTTTTTACTTTTTAAAATGTGGCTACCAGAAGATTAAAGATTACCGATGTGGCTCACATTTGTGACTCATATTATAGCCTATTGCGTAGCACTGTTTTAGAAGGCTGGCAACTTTAGCTCTTATGTTTATATCTATGATTTATATCAAATGAGTTTTTGGATATGGTGTTCCTCTTATTTCTTGTCATTTTTTTTTCCAGCACCATTTGTTGAAAACACTATCCTTTCCCCTTAAAGCATTTTTCAGAGACATATATGTGTGGTTTTATTCATCTACTCTTTATTCTATTCCACCGATTCATGGCTATCCTTATGCCAGTAACACAACCTTGATTCCTGGAGCTTTATAGTAAGTCTTGTAATCAGGTAGTGTGTATTTTCCAAGTTTCTTCTTTTTAAAAATTATTGTGGATATTCAAAGTCCTTCAGATTTCCATATAAATTGACAAATCAGCTTGGTAATTTCTTTTTAAAAAAAACCTGCCAGGATTTATTTTTATTTTTTATTTTTTTAAACTTTTAGGTTCAGCCCTGCCATGATTTTGATTGGAATTGCACTTAATCCACAGGTCAGTTGTGGGAGACTTGGTACCTCAACAATACTGAATATTCCAATCTTTGAACATAGTATTTCTCCGCCCTTATTTATGTCTTCTTTATTTCTTTTTTTGGGGGTGGGGTTGTTTTGTTTTTTATTTTTTTTTATTTCAATAGGTTTTTGGGAGAACAGGTGGTGTTTGGTTACATGAATAAGTTCTTCAGTGTTGATTTCTGAGATTTTGGTGCACCCATCACTTGAGCAGCATACAAAGTACCCAATGTGTAGTCTTTTATCTCTCACCTCCCTACCCCTCTTCCCCTGAGTCCTCAAAGTCCATTTTATCATTCTTATGCCTTTGCATCCTCATAGCTTAGCTACCATTTATGAGTGAGGACATACCATGTTTGGTTTTCCATTCCTGAGTTACTTCACTTAGAATAATGGTCTCCATTTCCATCCAGGTTGCTGCGAATGCCATTATTTCATTCCTTTTTATGGCTCAATAGTATTCCACGGTATACATATACATCATTTTCTTTATCCTTTCGATGATTTATGGGCATTTGGGCTGGTTCCATATTTTTGCAATTGCAAATTGTGCTGTTATTAACATGTATATGCAGGCATCTTCTTTGTATAATGACTTCTTTTCCTCTGGGTAGATATCCAATGGTGGGATTGATGGATCAAACAGTAGATCTACTTTTAGTTATTTAAGGATTCTCCATACTGTTTTCCGTAATTGTTGTACTAGTTTACATTCCCACCAGCAGTGTAAAAGTGTTCCCTTTTCGTCACATCCATGCCAACATCTATTTTTTTTTTGGTATTTTGATTATGGTCATTCTTGCAGGAGTGAGGTGTTATTGCATTGTGGTTTTGATTTGCCTTTCCCTGATCATTAGTGATGTTGGGCATTTTTTTTCATATGTTTGTTGGCTATTTGTATATTTCTTTTGAGAATTTTCTATTCATGTCCTTAGTGCGTTTTTTGATGGGATTGTTTGTTTTGTTCTTTCTGATTTGTTTGAATTCTTTGTAGATTTTGGATATTAGTCCTTTGTCGGATGTGTAGATCAAAGATTTTCTTTCACTCTGTGTGTTGTCTGTTTACCCTGCTGATTGTTTCTTTGCTGTGCAGAGGCTTTTAGTCTAATTAAATCCCATCTATTTATCTTTGTTTTTGTTGCATTTGCTTTTGGGTTCCTGGTCATGAAGTCTTTGCCTAAGGCAATGTCTAGAAGGTTATTTTTTTATGTTGTCTTTTAAAATTTTTATGGTTTCATGTCTTAGATTTAAGTCTTTGATCCACCTTGAGTTGATTTTTGTATAGGATGAGAGAAGAGAATCCGGTTTCATTCTTCTATATATGGCCTGCCAATTAACCCAGGACCATTTGTTGAATACGGTGTCCTCTCCCCAGTTTATGTTTTTGTTTGCTTTGTTGAAGTTCGGTTGACTATAAGTACTTGGTTTTATTTCTGGGTCCTCTATTCTGTTCCATTGGTCTATAGGCCTATTTTTATACCAGTACCATGCTGTTTTGGTGACTGCAGCCTTATAGTATAGTTTGAAGTTGGGTAATGTAATGCCTCCAGATTTGTTCTTTTTGGTTAGTCTTACTTTGGCTATGCAGGGTCTTTTTTTGTTCCATATGAATTTTAGGATTATTTTTTCTAGTTCTGTGAAGAATGATGATGGTATTTTGATGAAAATTGCATTGAATTTGTAGTTTTTTTTTGGCAGTATGGTCATTTTCACAATATTGATTCAACCCATTCATGAGCATGGGATGTGTTTCCATTTGTCTGTGTCATCTGTGATTACTTTCAGCAGTGTTTTGTAGTTTTCCTTGTAGAGATCTTTCACCTCCTTGGTTAAGTATATTCCTAGGTACTTTATTTTTGTCACAGCTAAAGTAAAAGGGGTTGAGTTCTTGATTTGATTCTCAGCTTGGTGGCTGTTGGTGTATAGCAGAGCTACTGATTTTGTACAATAATTTTGTATCGTGAAACTGCTGAATTTGTTCACCCATTCTAGGAGACTTTTGGATGAGTCCTTAGGGTTTTCTAGGTATACAATCATGTCATCAGCAAACAACGACAGTTTGACTTCCTTATGACCAATTTAGATGCACTTTATTTCTTTCTCTTGTCTGATTGCTCTGGTTAGGACTTCCAGTACTATGTTGAATAGAAGTGGTGAAAGTGGGAATCCTTGACTTGTCCCAGTTCTCAGCGGGAATGGTTTCAACTTTCCCCCGTTCAGTATAATGTTGGCTCTGGGTTTGTCATAGATGCCTTTTATTTCCTTAAGGTATGTCCCTTCTATGCTGATTTTGCTGAGGGTTTTTTTTTTTTTTTTTTTTGAGATGGAGTCTCGCTCTGTGGCCCAGGCTGGATGCAGTGGCACGATCTCCGCTCACCCGCCTCCTGGGTTCACGCCATTCTCCTGCCTCAGCCTCCCAAGTAGCTGAGACTAGAGGCGCCCACCACCACGCCCGGCTAATTTTTTGTATTTTTTTTGTAGAGACGGGGTTTCACCACGTTAGCCAGTATGGTCTTGATCTCCTGACCTCGTGATCCACCCCCCTCAGTCTTCCAAAGTGCTGGGATTAAAGGCGTTAGCCACCATGCCCAACCCTGCTGAGGGTTTTAATCATAAAGGGATGCTGGATTTTGTGAAATGATTTTTCTGCATCTATTGAGATGATCATGTGATTTTTGTTTTTAATTCTGTTTATGTGGTGTATTACATTTATTGACTTTCATATGTTAAACCATCCTTGCATATCTGGTAGGAAACCCACTTGATCATGGTGGATTATTGTTTTGATATGCTGTTGGATTCTGTTAGCTAGCATTTTTTTTTTTTTCCAGACGGAGTTTCGCTCTTGTTGCCCAGGCTGGAATGCAATGGCGAGATCTCGGCTCACCCCAACCTCCGCCTCTTGGGCTCAAGCGATTCTCCTGCCTCAGCCTCCCAAGTAGCTGGGACTACAGGCATGCACCACTACGCCCAGCTAATTTTGTATTTTTAGTAGAGATGGGGTTTCTCCATGTTGGTCAGGCTGGTCTTGAACTCCTGGCCTCAAGTGATCAGCCCACCTTGGCCTCCCAAAGTGCTGGGATTACAGGTGTGAGCCACCACGCCCGGCCACTAGTATGTTTTGAGGATTTTTGCATCTATGCTCATTAGGTATATTGGCCTGTAGTTTTGTTTTTTTTTTGTTATGTCCTCTCCTGGTTTTGGTATTAGGGTGATACTGGTTTCATAGAATGATTTAGAGGGGATTCCCTCTTTCTCTACCTTTTGGAATAGTGTCAGTGGTATAGGTACCATTTTTTGAATGTCTGATAGAATTCCGCTGTGCATCCATCTGGTTCTGGGCTTTTTTTTGTTGTTGGTACCTTTTTTTTTTTCTTTGAGGTGGAGTTTCACTCTTGTCGCCCAGGCTGGAGTGCAATAGCACGGTCTCTGCTCACTGCAACCTCCACTTCCTGGGTTCAAGTGATTCTCCTGCCTCAGCCTCCCGAGTAGCTGGGATTCCAGGCATGTACCACCACCCCTGGCTAATTTTTTTGTATTTTTAGAAGAGACGGAGTTTCTCCATGTTGGTCAGGCTGGTCTCAAACTCCCGACCTCAGGTGATCTGCCCGCCTAGGCCTCCCAAAGTGCTGGGACTACAGGCGTGAGCCACTGCGCCCGGCCGGTAATTTTTTAAATTACCATTTTTTTTTTTTTTTTTATTGATCATTCTTGGGTATTTCTCACAGAGGGGGATTTGGCAGGGTCATAGGACAATAGTGGAGGGAAGGTCAGCAGATAAACAAGTGAACAAAGGTCTCTGGTTTTCCTAGGCAGAGGACTCTGCGGCCTTCCGCAGTGTTTGTGTCCCTGGGTACTTGAGATTAGGGAGTGGTGATGACTCTTAACGAGCATGCTGCCTTCAAGCATCTGTTTAACGAAGCACATCTTGCACCACCCTTAATCCATTTAACCCTGAGTGGACACAGCACATGTTTCAGAGAGCACAGGGTTGGGGGTAAGGTCACAGATCAACAGGATCCCAAGGCAGAAGAATTTTTCTTAGTACAGAACAAAATGAAAAGTCTCCCATGTCTACTTCTTTCTACACAGACACGGCAACCATCCGATTTCTCAATCTTTTCCCCACCTTTCCCCTCTTTCTATTCCACAAAACCGCGATTGTCATCCTGGCCCGTTCTCAATGAGCTGTTGGGTACACCTCCCAGACGGGGTGGTGGCCGGGCAGAGGGACTCCTCACTTCCCATTAGGGGCGGCCAGGCAGAGGAGCCCCTCACCTCCCTCCCGGAGGGGGCGGCTGGCCGGGCGGGGGGCTGACACCCCCACCTCCCTCCTGGATGGGGCGGCTGGCCTGGCGGGGGCTGACCCCCACCTCCCTCCCAGACAGGGTGGCTGCCGGGCGGAGACGCTCCTCACTTCCCAGACGGGGCGGCTGCCAGGCAGAGGGTCTCCTCACTTCTCAGACGGGGCGGCCGGGCAGAGACGCTCCTCACCTCCCAGACGGGGCGGCGGGGCAGAGGTGCTCCCCACATCTCAGACGATGGGCAGCCGGGCAGAGACGCTCCTCACTTCCTAGATGGGGATGGAGGCCGGGAAGAGGCGCTCCTCGCTTCCTAGATGGGATGGCGGCCGGGCAGAGACGCTCCTCACTTTCCAGACTGGGCAGCCAGGCAGAGGGGCTCCTCACATCCCAGACGATGGACGGCCAGGCAGAGACACTCCTCACTTCCCAGATGGGGTGGCGGCCGGGCAGAGGCTGCAATCTCAGCACTTTGGGAGGCCAGGGCAGGCGGCTGGGAGGTGGAGGTTGTAGCGAGCCGAGATCACGCCACTGCACTCCAGCCTGGGCACCATTGAGCACTGAGTGAACGAGACTCTGTCTGCAATCCTGGCACCTTGGGAGGCCGAGGCTGGCAGATCACTCGCGGTTAGGAGCTGGAGACCAGCCCGGCCAACACAGCGAAACCCCGTCTCCACCAAAAAAATACGAAAACTAGTCAGGCGTGGCGGCGCGCGCCTGCAATTGCAGGCACTCGGCAGGCTGAGGCAGGAGAATCAGGCAGGGAGGTTGCAGTGAGCCGAGATGGCAGCAGTACAGTCCAGCTTCGGCTCGGCATCAGAGGGAGACCGTGGAAAGAGAGGGAGAGGGAGACTGTGGGGAGAGGGAGAGGGAGGGGGAGGGGGAGGGGGAGGGGGAGAGGTAGAGCCTAAATTACCATTTCAATCTCACTGCTTGTTATTGGCCTGTTCAGGGTTTCCATTTCTTCCTGGTTTAATCTAGGAGGGTTGTATATTTTCAGGAATTTATCCATGTCCTCTAGGTTTTCTAGTTTATGTGCATAAAGGTGTTCATAGTAGCCTTGAATGATCTTTTGTATTTCTGTGGTATTGGTTGTAATATCTTCTGTTTTGTTTCTAATTGAGCTTATTTGAATCTTCTTCCTTCTTTTCTTGGTTAATCTTACTAATTGTCTATCAATTTGATTTATCTTTTCAAACAACCAGCTTTTTGTTTCATTTATCTTTTGTAATTTTTTGTTTCAATTTCATTTAGTTTTGCTCCGATCTAGGTTATTTTTTTTTCTTCTGCTCATTTGGGTTTGGTTTGTTCTTGTTTCTCTAGTTCCTGGAGGTGCGACCCTAGATTGTTTATTTGTGCTCTTTCAGACTTTTTGATGTAGGCATTTAATGCTATGAACTTTCCTCTTAGCACTGCTTTTTCTGTATCCCAGAGGTTTTGATAGGTTCGGTCACTATAATCATTCAGTTCAAGGAATTTTTTTTTTTTTTTTTTTTGGAGACAGAGTCTTGCTCTGTCACCCAGGCTAGAGTGCAGTGGCACCATCTCGCCTCACTGCAATCTCTACCTCCCGGGTTCAAGCAAAGCAATTCTCCTGTCTCAGCCTCCTGAGTAGCTGGGACTACAGGTACCCACCACCACACCAAGCTAATTTTTGTATTTTTAGTATAGACAAGGTTTCACCATATCAGTCAGGCTGCTCTCAAATCCCTGACCTCAGGTGATCCACCCACCTTGGCCTCCCAAAGTGTGGGGATTACAGGATTGAGCCACCACACAGGCCAGTTCAAAGAATTTTTGTATTTCCATCTTGATTGTATTGTTGATCCATTGATCATTCAGGAGCAGGTTACTTAATTTCCACGTATGTGCATGGTTTTGAGGGCTCCTTTTGGTGTTGATTTCCAATTTTATTTCACTGTGGTCTGAGAGAGTACCTGACATAATTTCAATTTTCTCAAATTTGTTAAGACTTGTTTTGTGGCCTATCATATGATTTATCTTGGAGAATGTTCCATGTGCTAATGAATAGAATGTACATTCTGCAGTTGTTGGGTGGAGTGTTCTATAAATATCTGTTAAATCCATTTGTTCTAGGGTAGAGTTTAAGTCCATTGTTTCTTTGTTGACTTTCTATCTTGATGACCTGTCTAGTGCTGTCAGTAGAGTATTAACATCCCCCACTATTGTTGTGTTGCCATCTATCTCATTTCTTAAGTCTAGTAGTAATTGTTTTATAAATTTAGGAGCTCCAGTATTAGGTGCACATATATTTAGGATTGTGATATTTTCCTGTCAGACTAGTCCTTTTGTCATTATATAATGTCCCTCTTTGTCTTTTTAAACTGTTGTTGCTTTAAAGTCTATTTTTTCTGATAGAAGAATAGCTACTCCTGTTTGCTTTTGGTGCCCATTTGCATGGAACATCTTTTTCCATCACTTTATCTTAAGTTTGTATGTGTCCTTATGTGTTAGGTGAGTCTCTTGAAGACAGCAAATACTTAGTTGGGGAATTCTTATCCATTTTGCAATTCCATATCTTTCAAGTGGAGCATTTAGGCCATTTACATTGAGTGTTAGTATTGAGATGTGAGGTACTATTCTATTCATTATGCTAGTTGTTGCCTAAATACCTTTTTTTTTTTTTTTTGTAGTGTGATTATTTTATAGGCCCTGTGAGATTTATGCTTTAAGCAGGTCACATTTTGGTATATTTCAAGATTTTGGTTCAAGATTTAGAACATCTTTTAGTAGTTCTTATAGTGCTGGCTTGTTAGTGGCAAATTCTCTCAGCATTTGTTTGTATGAAAAATACTTTATCTTTCCGCTGGGCACAGTGGCTCATGCCTGTAATCCTAGCACTTTGGGAGGCTGAGGCAGGCGGATCATGAGGTCAGGAGATGGAGAGCATCCTGGCTAACATGATGAAACCCCATCTCTACTAAAAATACAAAAAATTAGCTGGGCGTGGTGGTGGGCGCCTGCAGTCCCAGTTACTTGGGAGGCTGAGGCAGGAGAATGGCATGAACCCAGGAGGCGGAGCTTGCAGTGAGCTGAGATTGTGCCACTGCACCCCAGCCTGGGTGACAGCAAGACTCCGTCCCAAAAAAAAAAAAAAAGAAAAATACTTTATCTTTTCCTTCATCACTTTTACTGGATACAAAATTCTGGGTTGATAATTATTTTGTTTAAGTGTCTAAAGATTGGACCCCAATCCCTTCTAGCTTGTAGGGTTTCTGCTGATAAATCTGCTGTTAATCCGATAGGTTTTCCTTTACAGGTTACTTGATGCCTTTGCCTCACAACTCTTAAGATTCTTTCCTTCATCTTGACCCTAGATAACCTGATGACTATGTGTCTAGGTGATGATCTTTTTGAGATGAATTTCCCAGGTGTTCTTTGAGCTTCTTGTATTTGAATGTCCAAATCTGTAGCAAGGCCAGGGAAGTTTTCCTCAATTATTCCCTCAAATAAAATTTTCAAACTTGCAGATTTCTCTTCTTCCTCAGGAACATCAATTATTCTTAAGTTTGGTCATTTAACATGATCCCAAACTTCTTGGAGGCTTTGTTCATTTGATTCTTTTTTCTTTGTTTTTGTCAGAGTTAATTTGAAAGCCTTGTCTTAGAGCTCTGAAGTTCTTTCTTCTAGTTGTTTGATTCTATTGTTGAAACCTGCCATAGTATTTTGCACTTCTCTAAGGGTGTCCTTCAGGCCGGGCGCGGTGGCTCACGCCTGTAATCCCAGCACTTTGGGAGGCCGAGGCGGGCGGATCACGAGGTCAGGAGATCGAGACCATCCCGGCTAAAACGGTGAAACCCCGTCTCTACTAAAAATACAAAAAATTAGCCGGGCGTAGTGGCGGGCGCCTGTAGTCCCAGCTACTTGGGAGGCTGAGTCAGGAGAATGGCGTGAACCCGGGAGGCCGAGCTTGCAGTGAGCCGAGATAGCACCACTGCACTCCAGCCTGGGCAATAGAGCGAGACTCCATCTCAAAAAACAAACAAACAAACAAACATAAAAAAGCCCAGAGTATTAACACTTGCTTATGATGCAATTTGAGAGCAAACACTTTTTGTACTTTTAAATGAAATTGTGCTGGGAAATACAAGGCAAAAAAACTGGGAAAATTTGTTTTTGTTAACAGAAGATGATGCAATAAGGAATCCAGATGAAACATAAGACCAGTGTTTACAATTTCTCATAAAAAGTGTAATTTTCAGCTGTAGCCTCATAGCTAGCTAACAGCTTTTAAAAACATGTACAGCCAGCCAACAGTTCTCTAAAGCATGTTTATGCTGCACTAAAAGATCCCTGCTAAACATCAACTGTACTTAAATGGGTTTTACTGAAGTAGGACTTTCATGATACTTTTAAAAGCCAGTCGTTTAAAAAGTGAATATGATAGGGCTACAATAATAACATTACTATTTTTTTCCCTTGGTTAATATGCCTCTATTTGAAACAAACCTACAGGTGCTTCTTAATACCATGGAATCATGAATTCTTGCAGTTATCAGCGTTTCCTAATGATTAAAACAATGTTCACATAATTACAAAGTTACTTCATCAAAATACTTAGAAGTATTTTGATTTTCTGAGGAGTGTTTGAAAGCTCTGTTTATAAATAGTGATTGTTACATTTATTATGTATTTGGTGCTGAAGATAAACACTTTTTACATAAAACAGTGTTTTAATATACTGGTCTACTAATGAGGCTAGTTATTAGATATACTGTATGTTAACACTGAAGAATAAAGCTTTATCTTCATATTTATTTTATTTGTAGGTCTCTTATCAATGAAGAACTTTGTATCCAACAATAATAAACTGTCATATTGCAAGTTGCATTTTGTAGAAGCAAAAAAGACTGGCTGTGACGAAATAAAGAAGATATTTGCATTATACATGCTTCTTACAAACAGTCCATTCTGAATGGTAGAATTAAATGCAAACCAAATGCTTTTAAATGTTTGTGTGCCTAGATGGCAACTACAATCTCCACACACTTAAAAGAACAATAACACAGAACACAGTATCCTTAATGATTGTAGCACATTTAACACCTTCAGCCATCACTGGGTTTTCAGATCATATTGGCAATTGAAATTTCACATCCACATGCGCTTGCTTTGCTTCACTATTTCAGAGAGCTTTACAAGCACTCTAGCAGCTTCCACCAAATCATCACAAGCAAGTATTTTAAGTCCACTGTCTGCTTTTAGTGCCTTAACATCATCAACTTGTGTACCTTGTAACTGTACCACAACAGGTATTTTAATTTCCAAACTTTTTACTGCCATGACTATACCCTTTGCTGTAATATCACAGTGCATGATTCCTCCACAAATGTTGACCAGAATAGCCAGTACCTTTTTATCTGAAGTGATAGGCTTAAATGCTTCTGTTACTTGATGGACTGTAGCACCACCACCAACAAGGAAATTAGCTGGAGTCTCTCCATGAAGTTTTATTATATCCATTGTGGCCATAGCCAAACCAGCACCATTTACTAGGCAGCCTATACTTCCATCGAGGCCAGTGTAGTTGAGATCTGCCTTAGCAGCATCTTTGTTCCTTTCATCTTCCTGGGTCCAGTCCTGTAGATCAAACATTTTCTTTTGGCGATAGGCTGAATTAGAGTCAAAATTGATCTTTGCATCCTTACACAATGCAGCTCCATCTGAATCTTCCACCATTGAATTTATTTCTATCATGGTTGCATCGTATTTCAGAAAAAGGCTGTAAAGCTTGATCATGTTTTCTGCTGCTGAAGCCACAATATTAGATGGAAATCCCATCTTCTGTGCAAGCTGGAGAGCTTATTCCTCTTTGATACCTTCTACAATATCAATAGGTACTTTAATTATTGCTTCAGGAGTCTCAGCAGCAACATCTTCAATGTTGGCCCCACTATGTAAACTTCCTATTAATACAAGACCTTGAAATGACCTTTCCATTGTTATTGCAAAGTAGCACTCTCTCTTGGGATATTTTCACTCACAGACCAATACCTGATTGCATATTCTGCCCTTTTCTCCCATTTGCTTGGTAAACAACTGTTTCCTAATCATTTGTGAAGGAACAGCTTTTGCTTCTTCTGGAGAGAAAACCATCTTCACTCCTCCTTTGAGGCCACTTTCAAATGTTCCTTTTCCTCTACCACCAGCTAAAACCTGTGCCTTCATCACAACATCTTTTGAACCTAATTTTTTGGCAATTGCATAAGCTTCATCTGGTCACTTTGCCACATATCCTTTGGGAACAGAGACACCAGTTTCTTGCAATAATTCCATACTCATGTATTCATGTAGTGAGAGATTCCTTTGCTGTTGCTGCTGTACTTGGAGTCCATGGTTATTAAACAATCCAGAACTTCCCAGAACCTGAGCAGCAGCCCGCAGTGTGGTCCGAAGGGTGGCGGCCACCAACAGCGGGCGGAAGAACATGGAGGCCACCATTTCTGAGTCTAACATTACTATTAATAAAAGTTACAGAAGAGATTATTGCTGTAGTTTTCCTCATAAACACCATCAAATTTCGTTGCAGTTACAAAAAGTACAACCATGTTACTTTTTCTCTTACCAAATTTCATTGTCTTCCATGTCTGTAAAGTTTTTATTCAGTAGAAGATAATTCTTCCACTCTTTTCTGTAAGAATTCAAAGTATTTAAATGTGTAACTTCATACTATATTACCATGTTTTTCCCTTCTTGTTTCATATATATACGTATATATATGTATATATATGTATATATACGTATATATACGTATATATGTATATATGTATATATATGTATATATATGTATATATGTGTATATATGTATATGTGTATATATGTATATATGTATATATGTGTATATATGTATATATGTGTATATATGTATATGTGTGTATATATGTATATATATGTGTGTATATATGTATATATGTGTGTATATATGTATATATATGTGTGTGTGTGTGTGTATATATATATATATATATATATATATATATATATATATCTCATTTTTCAAAAAGGAAACCAGGTGTCCACATTTTAAAGAAACCCTGCATGGGTTTGGACAATGAGAAGAAAAAATTTTAAAAAGCCTACAAAAAAGTTTCAGAGCTATAAAAGATTTTCATATGGCATGAAGTGATCTCCTGCTAGTCCAGAGTTCAAAAACACTCTAATGAAGTTCATTTATATATATTTTGTTTGCTTTTCATGGAATACTACATTTATTGAGGTGAAATCACCTGTTTTTTTTTTTTTAGCTATTTAAGTCAACAAGGGTACACAAGTGTTTTTCAATACAGTTATTAAAAATAGGAGGCCAACTTGAATGTGCCAGATGGATTCCATTCAGTTGGGTTTCTAGAGTCATCAGGAAGAACGTTAGAGAAAAGATTTCCTTGTTTGGTTTCTATAGCTTGATAGACCAAAAAACAAACAAACAAAACCTACTACAACAACAAACAGCAAAATTTTTGTCCATACAGAAATGGCTCATTCTTTTTTTGTCTTTTCTGACTTGACATCTGCCAAGGGAACACACTTAGGAACATATTTAGATGAAAAAGATTCTGCCATCCTGAACTCAGTGAGTTCTAATGGCCTGCCTGTAGCCCCTTTGACTGGTCTGCAGCAATTCCTGTTGGTGTAGATGCTTCATAGGGCAACATTTCCTTAAGAATATCCCTTTCTACTCTTCTTTATTCTGTTCCCCCCCAACCCCAGTGGTCTCTTTGGAGTTTGGGGTATGTTTGAAAATTTACTGAGTTGCAGAATAGGAGCTGCATGCTTGAAATTTCCAGTCATCCTACTGACAACGAAGGTTTTGTGTCCTGAAGCCATTAGAGTTTCAGCTGTGGGAGCACTCTCTGAAATTACTGCACTGTCTATTGGAAAATGTTCTGGTTTCCACCCTCTTCCTTGGCCTTCTCCTCCGGTCTCTGGTAGACTCCCTACTCCAGGCCTGCAGAGCTCCGCCTTCTGAAGCTCCACTTGTGCGTTCAGCCTCAGTTATTCCAGCGTGAGAATAGCTCTGACTATCTCAAGTCTTCTTTTCTTCAGTGTTACTGGAGTCTTTGCTCTGCCCTTTAGTGGTTCTGTCTTCTCAAGCTTGATCTTTACTTTAGTCTTCTTCATTGTCACAGTATCTATTAGAACCTTTATTTCAATTCTGCCTTCCATTTTCTGCTGAAGATTAAATTGTTAATCCGCCGAGATGGGCAGATCCCTTGAGCTCAGGAGTTGGAGACCAGCCTGGACAACACGGGGAAAGCCCGTCCCTACCAAAAATACAAAAAAAAAAAAAAAAAAAAAAAAAAAAAAAAAAAAAAAAAATGTAGCCAGGCGAGGTGGCGCATGCCTGTGGTTCTAGCCACTCAGGAGTCTGAGGCACGAGAATCTCTTGAACCCGGGAGGCGGAGGCCGCAGTGAGCCGAGAGCCGAGATCGCGCCACTGCACGCCAGCCTGGGCGACAGATCGTCCTCGTTCCTTCGGTTTCAAGGTTTTTTTCTCACATCGCTTCCTGGTTGTTCTCCAGTAGGACTAGGTTTCTCTTTATACCTCGCAAGCGGGTCCACGAGATCTTCATTAGTGAGCGCGGTTACCTCGAGATCAGCTTTATCTTTTGGTCTGAGTTGAACTGTTTTCTTCGTGGCTTTCCTGCTGTGGGTGGCTTGGCTCTGGAGCCAGCTGGGGGAGGCGGGGCCCTCGCTGTCGGCGCCGCGGCGGGGTAGAGGTAGCGGCGGGGTAGAGGTAGGGCCGAGTGCTGCAGGCGAGGCTGCGCGTCCTGGTCTCTGCGCTGCTCCGGGCCGGGAGCCTCACTTTAATGGCGACCAACTCACTCATCAACTTGTCTTTCGTCAGGACCCAGGAGTCTTCCAGGAACGCTGGCATATCCAGGAGCTGCGAGTCCCGCTCCCGGCAGCCTTCGCAGCCTCCGGTCCCGCCCGAGCTCGCCCGGGCCTCGCGGCTCCCGCCCCGGAGGAGCGCCGCGGAGCAGGGCAAAAACTTGCGGACAGAAAGCCAGGCCAGACCCGACACAAAAGCCCCGGGGCTGAACGATGCAGACACCCGCGGCCAAGCCGGAAGCCCGCACCAACCCCAGCCCCCACACTACAGGCCACTTATTTTATTTTATTCTTTTTAAAATGTGGGTTTCTGGTCTATGCAATTCACCTCGGTGTGACTCAGGAAGGACACTGGAAGTCCACTGATCTGGCCAGGACAGAACCACGTGTGTGTTTAGGAAAAGTGGCCTTCTGTTCTCCATCCCTAGGGGCTCACGGGATACCCTTAGAACAGACTGGCCACAGGAATTCCCAGTTAAGGCAGAAGGTTGACATGAGATCAGTGTTTCAGGATTAAGTTCTCACGAAGGGCAGAAAACTGGGAAGCCCATACTTTTCCACGTTAATCAATTGGTTCCATAAACATCATTCCATTTATGTTTTTGTGTTTTTTATTAATAATTCCTTTGAGCTTCACTGGGAGAGATGAGTATGACTGTGGAGCTCAGTTCTGTAAAGCATGGGGTGGCTAAGAAAGGGAAGTAACTGGCCCCAGAATCCCACAGTCACCCAGTGACCTTCAGCCCAAGAATCTGATGGCCACTGCTGCACTCCAAGGGAAAGGAGGCCATCCGGAGAGAAGAGAATTACAAGAATAAGAGTGCAGAGAGTGTCCCACAGTCCTGAGATTCGTACAGAAGCACAGGAGGAAGCAAGTGTCCAAGTATCCAGAGTCCTGTGAAGTAGGGATTTCAGTCCTCAAAGCTACCCTCTCCCATCTGCCAAGTCTTCTGTGGACGTGCGTGGCTGTGTTTCCCTTCCCATTCCCTTTGGGCAGTGTGCTATAGGTTTCCATGTGAGGGCCAGTACTCCTTGCCTCTCATCTCCCTCTCCATTTTGCCGCAAATGCAAGGGACCCCATACTCGCCCTTGCCCCACCTCTTGCCTCTCCTGGGGACATTCTTCCTGCTCAGTAGTGGGCCTTGTGAGGACCTGCAGGACAGCCTGAGTGGGAGCTACCCCAAGGGCCCAAGGAGTTCCAGGAACCCCATCTGCACTCACTCACCTCCCCATCAAGCGCCCCTGCATTCTTCCTGCACTGCACTCCAGGTGTTGACAGCTCCTGGGCAGGGTAGCAGGTTCCAGGGAGCCCAGGCTGAATGGAGCTTGGGAGCTGAGGTCCTCTGCTGGGGATTCACTGTTCCAAGAGGACAGGATTCTGCCTTTATGGGGGAAGGGCTGGATAGGAACCAGGAGACCAGTTATAGGCCTGTTGCTATCAATCCTGGGACCAGTTAATTGATCTGTGTTCAGTACAGGATAGCAAAAATGGACTTGACCTTTTCTCTGTGTAACTTTTTTCAGAAACCATCACGTCCAGCCTTCCTTCCCTGGGCACAGAGGAGACCTGCCTCAGGCGAAGTTCTTCTGTGGAATTAAAAAGTCTCTTGGGCTCAGCTCTCCCCAGGGGCCTTCAGAACTCACCAAGGATAGAGCTGCAGACCTCTGGTGGTCAAATAGGGACTAAAACCGATTACACCTACAAGTCAATTGCAAATCAGTCTTTCTTTCTGTTGCACCTGTGCCCCTCACTTAGTCACCTGTCTTAGATGGAAGCTTCGGGCCCCTCCTGGGCCCCAACCCTGCGGTCCCCAGGTTCGCGGTTTTTCACGTCTAATCTCAATTGGCCCCTTCCCCACACACCGTGTTTGACCACCCAGTTCACAGAACGCCCCGGGCTTCCTAGTGGGCCAGGTCCTCCTTAGAGAGGCAAGAAGGTGGAGAGGGAGCGTGGACGCCGAGCGCCCGCTGGGCAAACCCGAATCTGGGGCCTGACCTAGCCGGTAGCCGGTGACGGGGCCGGTGGTGGCTTGGAGACTCCTCTCTGGTCCTCTGCTCTTGGCCCCAGCCCCGCGCTCACAGCCACCTCCTGAAGCCGCCAGTGCTGCGTCCTCTTGGCCACGTAGGGGAAGAGCGGACTGGACGGAAGCAGCGGACTCTGGGCGCTGTCAAGGTCACTGTTGTGAAAAGCCGGGAGACCAGATGTGGACACAGGGAGGCCTGGACCCGAGGCGCGGCTGGCCAGAGGCCTCGTGTCTGCCCCTCTTCACAGCTTCCAGGGAAGCTCCCCGCGTATCCTCAAAGCAGAGAGCGGTTTCCAAACGGACCCCCACAGCGCCCGATTGGGCCATCCCGCCCCAGGCTGGAGGGTGGGTGCTCATGGGGTCGCCAGTCACCAAGGGCCCCATCTGAGCGCACCCGGTCCCTCCTCCAGGCTCGCCTGGGCCTCGAGGGCGGCGAACAGCTCGGCTTTGAAGAAGGCTCCGGCCGGCGCTGCCCAAGTCGGGCAGCCTTCCTGGCCCACCCGGGAGTTGAGTTTCAAGGCTTCCCGGAGAGGCCAGCCCAGATTCGCAGCGGAGAGTTTCTCAGGCCACAAACCTCGGAGAGAAGCAGCCGTGGTTCCCTGTGCCCTGGGCCACCGCTGGGCGGGGCAGGAAGCCTCCCTGGCGTTTCCTCGCGGGCGCGACTACGAGCCGCGGAAACCAGTGGCCGCTCCACACTATTTAAGCTGAGGTTCCTCTGCCATGGCTGCGGTTTGCGGTTTCAGCTTAGTGTACCACTTAGTACTAATATTATTACTTAGTGAACTTAGTGCACTTAGTGCTCTAAGTTTACCAAGTTTACCATTTATTGTACTTAGTGTACTTAGTGCTCTAAGTTTACCAAGTTTACCACTTAGTGTACCTAGTCTACTTAATCAACACTTAGTGTATTTAGTGTTTCAGCTTAGTGTAGAGAGGCTTCTTTCTTCCTTTTCTGGAGGAGTCAGTGGTTAGAGACGATTTCCGTGGTTAGAGCGTACTTGGTCTTTAGAAGACGACTTTGGTGTCCATTGCCAACCCCATCAGAGATCGCAGGCCTTTTCCCCTCAGTCCCAGCTCATCAGCAAAGGTCTGGGTGGCTGTCTCCAGAGGAGACTGAACGAGGTTGTCAAAGCGGCTGGATCAAAAGTGTTGCCATGTCGGATGGAGTGGTGTCCACGATGAACCTGAGCATGGTACCAGCATCTGGGGGTGTGGAATTGGGAGGGAAAGCTGGGGCCCCACAGTGTGAGGAAGGAGGAGCATGGTCAAACCAGACTGGGCAGAGTCCTCGGTATTTAGGAATCTCTAAATACTAAATACTAAATCTCTAAATACTAAATACTGAGCTGGGATGGAATCTCTGTGCTGGAGGCTAGTGGTGCAAACATTTTTTCCGCATGAGGTTCAGAAAGGTTAGGCGGCGGTTTCTCATCTGCAGGCACAGGTGACTGACTGCCTTCAGCATGGGCCCATCTGTCCATCTCTCCTCCTGACCCTGGTCTCATTACAGGAGAGGGAACTGGGTGCTAGAGGGTGGGGAATCCAGGATGTCAGAGGTGTCACACCTGGATAAAGCGTTTTGAAAACACAAGTCCCAGGGCTGATTATTGATTTTACCACATGCAGCCTGTTTTTATTTATGAAGTTTCTTTTCTTTTCCCTTAACTTCCAATGATACACTATAATGTACATCAATGTCCTTAAAATGTATGTAGTCCTCTTCATCTAGTAACTATACTGATCCTCAAGTATCCATTCTCTAGTCAAGGGTTATACCTGTTTCTCCTACCCCACGGCAGTGCTGGGTCTGGTGTACCCCTCCCGCAGTATCGCCTCCCCCTAAATAAGCACGTTTCCCTATAATTTCTTACTTTTTCTCTATGCCTTCCCATCATGTTTGCACTCACTGTGAAGTAAGGAAACGCTTCCTAATTCTGTTATTCCTTCCTACTCTTAGGAGATTTCTCCCTCTGCGCTGAGGATCTCACTGTGCACCTCCAGCCCTGGGTCCTGGTGGGCTCTGGTGGCCACTGGAGTCTTTGGAACTGCCTCCCTCTGGCTCTGCTGGGTGAGTGCTCTTCTGTCTTCTGTTTCTCCACTGATAAAAACAAATCCGAGAACATGTTCACAATAACACTTCCAGAAAGGATGGTGTGGAAGGGGATAAGGAGTAGGGGAAGGAACTCCACTCCCTTGGATGAATTTAGAGACAATTTGCTACATTAATCTCTGGCCAGGAGCCAAGACAGAGTCTAGAGTAAGCCAGGCTGCTCAGGTCAAATATCTGAAGGCCTCCTCTTCTCCCTCCTCACATTTCAGTAGACTCAGTGCCAAGGGCTTGTCCTGGGGACAGGTGGCCTCAGCCACAGTAAATCCCTGAGATCCTGGACCACTGCGTGGAACCCTGTTCTCTGCATGAGGCAGGCTCCAGGTGCTACCTGCTTCCCTTTCATTTCCCCTGTTACAAAACATGGTCTCCCCTCTACTCTCTCTCAATCCTTCCTAGCCACCAGCTTCCTGGCAAGCAACCACATGGAAGCCTTTTACTTCATATTTTGTTCTTTATCTTTATGTCTCTTGATAATATACATTTATGCCACTTCAAATGTTTCCATTTTAGATATTATGTATTGACTTTTCAATATCCCTTCTGTCCATAGTACCTTCCCCAGCACACACATTTTCATCCTCCTCGTGTAGGCAGGTGGAGATTTTGAGTGCATTGAGAGCCAGAGTTAAAATTACTGACTTACGTGACTGCTACTCAGACCTGAGCCACATGGTAAACTCTCTTAGTTTTTCTTTCCACATATGCTGAAGTTTTCAAGATTTGATCATTGCCTAGTATTTTCATTTTCTTACTTTCCATGAACCTTAAATGAATTCACCAACTGTTCCTTAGTTGAGTAAATGTCTTCTCAATACCTTTAAACTTATGTTGGCTGTTGTCAAGGTCATCTTCTTGGAGATGGCTTCCCCTCTGCTGTCCACCCACCCAGGTGACCCTCTTCCTTTCTGGTCCTGTTGCCCTTTCACCTTTTCATGGGTTGATGCCTGATTTCATACATCCCATATCTTGGTATTTTTTTTGTTCTTGTTGTTGGTTGATGTTGTTGTTGTTGTTATTTTTTGTATATTCCTTCCTCCTCTGTTTGGTATGTTCCCTCCTTCAGTTTTGTTATCCTTCAACTTTGCTATCAGGAGAAAATTTTTCATGACTTGCAATATCTGAATTTCACCCTATTTTACAGGGTTGGATTCGGGCATCGATGTCACACCCAGCAGGAACAACTGGGGCCACTGGAGGATTCCCAAGGACACAGGTTGTCCTTTTCATGCAGGAAGAATCTGAATCGTTTCCATCCAGTTTCCCCGGCATGCAGCAGAATACAACACAAGGGGCTGCGGTCTTCTCTGACTCTTAAGGCCCTTGGAAGATCCTGTTCTGCCAAAATCAGGGTGATTTGGGCAAGCATCCTTAGGGCTCTGGACCTTAGTTTCTTTCCCTGGTTGATTGATTGACCATATAGGTGTCCTAACTCACATAGTTGAAAATCAGATGTGGTGAAAGTGCATTGAGACCAGAAACAATGTTATTGTCCTGAAATGCATGCCCAGAGAGCACTGAATAAATTTTTAAAACACCTGACCACAGCTGGCATTTCTGTTCTTTTCTAAACTATGGGACTGATCAAAAGAGAGAGGTTAGGTGGGGTGAGTGTGGGTCCTGGCCAGGAGAATGAAGGAGGGAGGGAGGGAAAGGCTGTGAGAAGAAGTGGAAAGCAGGGTACAAAGGATGCAGGATGGTGTCACTTCAGGGAAGGGCCTGGGATTCCTAGTAAGTATGGAGGAGAGGTGGCACCTGAGATTACCTTTGGAAGCCCAGATGTAGCTGATCCTACAACTTGCTTCTCCTCCTGCCTGGACGTCTACACCAATGTGACTAGACACACAGTAGAAAAGAACTGGCACCTGATTCTCAGACTGGTACCATCTTCTACCCTCGAGTGTTTGTTTCATTCCTTTCCTCCCTGTTTCCCCACCCCAACCACCAAACTCATTGCTCCATTCTTCCAATATAACTCTATATCAGGGCACCACTGAGTTCAACGCAATGTGTCACAATCGCTGTGTTCTCCCTCTCCCAAGTGCATGATTCTCCACACTGCAGGGCTGCTGCTGGAGGATGGGGCTGGGGCGGCATTGGCAATTCGGGACAACATCCTACCCTTCTCAGTGTTTCTTTCAGTTATATGAAGTTAAAAACCAGGTTTTGTGAATGCTCACATAACTTTTGTTTCTAGTGAAGGTGATTTTGTCTTTTTTTAAATGTAGATAGTTGTTAGATTGGTATCTTTGTTGCAGGGGGACGGTTAGTGAAGTCTTCTATCTAGCCATCTTGCTCCACCCCTCTCCCTAAAAAATTTTTAAATTTCTTTCCTAATGTCTTCATTGACCCACCAGGCATTCAGGAGCATATTGTTTAATTTCTATGTGTTTGTATAGTTTCCAAAATTCCTCTTGTTATTAATTTCCAGTTCTATTCCATTGTTGTCAGAGAAGATGTTTGATATTATTTCAATTTTTTGAATGTTCTAAGACTTGTTTTGTGACCAAATATTTGGCCTGTCTTTGAGAATGATCCATGTCCTGAGAAGAAATATGTGTATTCTGCAGCTCTTGGATGAAATATGCTGTAAATATCTATTAGATCCATTTAATGTATAGTGCAGATCAAGTCCAATGTTTCTTTGGTGCTTTTCTGTCTAAACGATCTGTCCTATGCTGAAACGGGGGCTGCTGAAGTCTCTGGCTATGATTGTACTGAGATCTATCTTTCTCTTTAGCTCTAATAATAATTGCTTTATACAGCTGGGTGCTCCAGTGTTGGGGTATGTATATTTATAGTTGTTATAGCATCTTACTGAATTGACCCCTTTATCATTATATAGTGACCCTCTTTGTCTCTTCTTATAGTTTTTATCTTAAAATCTATTTTGTCTGATATAGGTATAGCTACTCCTGCACTTTTTTGATTTCCATTGGCATGACCAATCTTTTTCCATCCCTTTATTTTCAGTCTATGTGTGTGTTTATAGGTGAGTGTGTTTCTTGTAGGCAACAGATCATTGGGTCCTTTTTTTTTTTTTTTTTTTTATTCATTCCACCACTCCATTTCTTTTGATTGGAGAGTTTAGACCATTTACATTCAGTGTTATTATTGATAAAGAAGGACATTTTCTTATTTGTTTTCTCGTTGTTTTGCTTGTTTTCTCTTCCTTCTTTCCTTCCTTTATGTCTTCCTTTTAGTGAAGGTGATTCTCTGGTGATATGATTTAATTTCCTGTTGTTTATTTTTTGTATATCTGTTGCATTTTTTATGATTTGAGATCACCAGGCTGCTTGCAGATATCTTATAACCATTATTTTAATCTGATAAAAACTTAACACTGCTTGTATAAACAAAAACCGAAAGATATGTAATAAGAATTCACACTTTAACTCCATCCTCTTTCTTTTTAACTTTTTGTTGTTTCTATTTATATCTTCTTATACCATCTATGTCTTTTTTTAGATGAGGATCTCACTCTGTCACCCAGCCTGGAGTGCAGTGTCACAATCTCAGCTCACTGCAACCTCTGCCTCCGAAGCACAAGCAATCCTTTCACCTCAGCCTCCTAAGTAGGTGGTACCACAGACACGTGCCACCATAACCAGCTAATTTTTTCCATTTTTTAAAAGAGACTGGGTTTTGCCATGTTGCCCAGGCTAGTCTGAAACTCCTGAGTTCAAATGATCTGTTCACTTCAGCCTCTCAATGTCCTGGGATTACAGGCATGAGCCACTGCAGCTGGCCTTGTACCGTCTATGTGTTGAAAAGTCTTGTAGTTATTATTTTTTATTGGTTCACCTTTTATGCTTTCTACTTAAGACACGAGTAGTTTACACACCACAAATACAGCATTATAATATTCTGTGTTTTTCTGTGGCACTTGGTTCTTGACTGAAGAAATTACAAAGTGCCAATCTGGGTCTAAATGTAATCCATTTTCTGAAGTTAAGTGTCCCAAATATTTCTTCTGAGTTTTCACTAGCTGCAATTTTTCGTCAGAGACTTCATGGTCTTTAGCAGTCAGTTGCTTTAACAGTTGTACACCATTTTTTTCATAGGCTATCTGTGAAGCAGAGCAAAGAAGGCGGCCATCTATATATTGTAGTAAGGTGGAACCTTAAGGAGAAACTATCTCCTCCAAGTGTTCCTTTAATATTTGAAAAACACAGGAAGGGTTTTCAGTAAAAGCAAGAGGCATTACTGTCCAGGTGAATTGTTGGCCTTCCAAGGTAAAGGCAAAAAGATACTGGCTGGCCTGATCCACTGGATTACTGAAGAATGCACTTCATAGATCAATGACAGTGAAAAACCTCCTATCAATAGGTTGTGAGTTTAATGAGATATAGGGATTTGGAACCACTGATGTCTTGGAATCACTATATAGTTTATTGCTCAGAATTCCTGAGCAAACCTTTAATCCCAGTTGTTTGGTTTTTAATAGGTATAATTAGGGTGTTAGAAGGATGAGTACATGGAATAATGAGGCCTTGCTTTTTATGTCCTTCTGTAATAGGTTTAATGACTTATAACACCATCTGGTTTAAGTGGATATTGTTTGATATTAGGCAGGGGTTTTGATGGATCAAGCTGGATTTTTATAGGAGGTATATTATAAAGTTTGCCAATATCAACAGTTTTGCCTATACAGAGACAGGTATTAGATTCAGCAGTGAAAGGGTGTGATGTAGTTTGTATATTTGTCCCCACCCCAATTTCATGTTGAATTGTAATCCCCAGTGTTGGAGGTGGGTCTTGGTGGGAGGTGATTGGATCATGGGGGCACATTTCTCAGGAATGGTTTAGCACCGTCCCCTTGGTGCTGTCTTTGAAATAGTGAGAGCTGGTTGTTTAAAAGTGTGTGGCGTCCTTCCCCTCCCACTCTCTCTCTCGTTCCTGCTTTCGCTATGTGACGTGCCTGCTCCCCTATTGCCTTCTGCCATGATGGTAAGCTTCCTGCGACCTCATCAGAAGCTGATCAGATGCCCAGCACCGTGCTTCCCATAAAGCCTGCAGAACTGTGAGCCAATTAAACTCATTTTTCTTTATAAATTACCCAGTCTCATGTATTCTTTATAGCAATGCAAGAACAGCCTAACACAAGATAGCATTATTTTTGTTTTGTCAGTGGGAATGACATAACAAGTGGGGACATTTGGAGAGTCAGGGATTCCTGAGGTCAGGAATTCAAGACCAGCCTGGCCAACATGGTGAAACCTCGTCTCTACTAAAAATACAAAAAATTAGCTGGGCATGGTGGTGGGCACCTGTAATCCCAGCTACTCGGGAGGCTGAGGCAGGATAATTGCTTGAACCCAGGAGGTGGAGGTTTCAGTGAGTCGAGACTGCACCACTGCACTCCAGCCTGGTGACAGAGTGAGACTTCATCTCAAAAAGAAAAAATTTTAAAAAAAGTTTTTAAGCAGTTTTCTTAGTAGGGTCCTCAAGGGGACAGGCAGGTGATTTATCAAATGGACAAGATCAGAACTGCACATAGTTTCCCTAAATTGCTGGCTCTTTTACCAAGTTCAGCATGTTTTGAAGAAAAGCTATTCACAAACTTGGAATTAAAGTCTACTCAAGTAGATTTAACATCCATAGGTAATGCAGAAATTTCTTTCTTTTTTCTTTTCTTTTCTTTTCTTTTTTTTTTTTTTTAAGATGGATTCTCACTCTGTCGGCAGGCTGTAGTGCAGTGGCTGGATCTGGGCTCACTGCAAGCTCCGCCTCCCGGATTCACACCATTCTTCTGCCTCAGCCTCCCAGAGTAGCTGGGACTACAGGCACCTGCCACCATGCCCAGCTAATTTTTTTGTGTTTTTAGTAGAGACGAGGTTTCACCGTGCAAGCCAGGATGGTCTTAATCTCCTGACCTCGTGATCTGCCCGCCTCGACTTCCCAAAGTGCTGGGATTACCGGCGTGAGCCACCGCGCCCAGCCTACTTTAGTTTTAAGAAAGACAAGTTTGGGGAACTCAAAAGACCCCAAGGATGGCCATTGAAGATCCAAATTAACTTTGCTATACTCTATCCATTGATTTTAAAAAGTACACAAGAGACGACCTTAATTTTTTTCTTTTCTTATTTATTTTTATTTTTTTTTGACATGAAGTTTCCCTCTTTTCTCCCACGCTGGAGTGCAATGGCATGATCTCGGCTCACTGCAACCTCTGCCTCCCGAGTTCAAGCTGTACTCCTGCCGCAGCCTCCCGAGTAGCTGGGATTACAGGTATGCGCAACCACATCTGGCTGAATTTGTATTTTTATTAGACACGGGGTTTCTCCATGTTGGTCAGGTTGGCCTCCAACTCCCAAATTCAGGCGATCCGCTTGCCTGGGCCTCCCAAAATGCTGGGATTACAGGCGTGAGGCACCACGACCGGCCTTAATTTTTTAAAATAGAGATGAACTCTTGCTATGTTGCCCAGGATGGTTTCAAACTCATGAGCTTAAGCAATCTTTCCACCTCGGCCTCCCAAGGTGCTGGGATTACAGGCATGAGCCACTGACAATAATTTTTGAACATATAGCTGACAGGAGTCCCAGAAGAGGGCCTATATTGGATGCTTTGGAGTTTTGGCATCCTGTTCTGCCTCTTATTAATTTCTCAACAGCAAAAGAAAAATTCTATAATCTCTGTGAGGAAATGGTAGGGGTTGGAGCGATTTGTTTTTTAATAGTGTGTGCCTAGCATAGGATTTTTGTTTTTACTTGATGTGCAGGCAGCCTGTGATCTAATTGTCTATCCTGTCACCATTTTCTCCAGAATTTTCTTGAGACTGGCACGCTGCCTAATGGAAATCTTGTTTATTCATGTACCACTTTATCCTGACAACAAAAAATTTCTCTTTGGGGAGACTGAAGGCTCACATAGAATGGTGACAACAGCCCAAACAGCTTTTAAGGAGTTGACTCATCCTTACCATTTTAGAAAGTAAATTTTGCTCTCAAAAGATATTCAGAAGCAGAGGAAAAATCAAGCAACAAACTCAGTATAAGTCTCTTCCAAAGATAATCTTTCTTCAGGATCATTTCTGACACTAGATTATTCAACCTAAAAAACATGACATTAGAAATGTCCAAATATGTTGAGTTTATTTGGGAATGAGAATGAGGATTGTAACCTAGGGTGCACTGATGGATTGCCATTCTGGAAATATTAGCTTAGCCAGATGTAGTGGGTTGAATGGTGGACCCCATAAAGATATGTTTCTGTCTTAGTGCCCAGCAGCTGTGAATGTCAAGTTGTTTGGAAAAAAAGGGTCTTTGCAGATGTAATTAAGCGGAGGATACTGAAATGAGGAGATCCTCCTAGATGACCCAGGTGGGCTCTAGATCCAATGACAAGTGTCTTTCTAACAGGTACACAGAAGAGAGAGTCAGAAGAGGAGAAGGTGATGTGAAGAATGAGGCAGAGACTAGAGCAATGGGGCTACAAGCCAAAGAACGCTGACCAATGCCCTGCAGCTGCCAGAGCTGGAGGACTCAAGGAATGGATTTGCTCTTAGAGCTTTCAGAGGGAGTGAGGCCCTGCATATTGATTTTGCAGTTTGGGCCTCCAGAACTGTGAAAGAATAATTTTCTGTTGTTGTAAGTTGCCAACTTTGAGGGCATTTGTTGTGGCAGCTACAGGAAGCTAATATACCAGGTGATCAACTTCAACATCAACAGTGGTACATGAAATTGATATTCTATAACCTTGATAAGGTGTTTGGAGAATAGCACTTCACCTCATCTAAACACCCATAACCATAGTCTAACCATGATCTACACCCCAACTAAATTCAGTTTGAGGGACATTTTACAATATATCTGGTCAGTACTTCCCAATATTGTGAAGGGCATCAAAAATTAGGAAAATCTCAGGAACTGTCACAGACCAGAGGATGCCGCGGAGGCACGACGGAGACTAAATGTAGTGTGATATTCTCCATGGAATCCTGAAACACAGAAAGGACATTAGGGGAACGCTAATGAACTCCAAATAAAGTCTGCAGTTTAGTAATAATAAGGTATGAAAATGGCTTCATTAGCTGTGACAAATGGACCATAGTAATGAGAGATGTTAACATCAGGGGAAACTGACTGTGGAGCGGATGGCAACTCTGTACTACCATTGCAACTTTTATGTAAATTTAAAACTCTTCTAAAATAAAATTATTTAAAAGTAGCAGTCAGGAAAGGATTAAGGAGTGGAAGAAAAAAATGATCAACTTTCCATTTTCCTGGAGTGTTGCCATGAAAAGGCTGGAGGGAGGGTTTGCAAGGAGGAGTTGGAAACCTCAGAGACAGGCCGCTCCAGAGCCCTCCTCTGTTCCGCAGAGCCGGAACCCCGCGCAGTCCAGGGCTTCTCAGAAGGCCTTTCCACTCCCTGGACAACCCCAGCCCCACCTCATTGATACATCCTTTCTGGATCAACAATCTGTGTCTTACTCAGACCACCGCCCCATCCTCTCCAGAGCGGCTCATCAGAATCCGAGCGCAGAGCGGCAGCGCCCCCGTGTGGCCCAAGGACTGAGGACAGACGCTCAGCTCCCCTTTCGCTTCCCCACCCGCGACTTCCACAGGGTCCCGTTCGGTTTCCAGCTGCAGAACAGGGCTCTGTGCACACGGGGGCGCCCTGCTCCCGTGTCGGTGTCTCTAAATCCTGGAGTACAGATGTTTCCTCCCAGTTACTGGCGGTGGAGTCTGATCTCAAGGCAGAGGGAGGTCTGCAGGCCCTAAGATCTGGTTCCCAGGTCTGCGTGACCCCACAGACATACTGTGCGCCCAGTACCCAATCTCTCAGTGTTTTTGGAATGAGGCCTTGGACTCCCGAGTCCCTGAAATTTGTTCTGCTGCTTCCAGGGAGGAAGATACCTCCTCGCCGGAATCCACTAGTTGATCCTCCAACCCTACTTTGGAGGGACCCAGGAAGGACATGGCGTTGGAGCTGGACCCAGGAAGAACATGGCGTCGGAGCTGTAACTATATTGGGTTACAAGGATGTCTGGGATCAGACTGGGCAGAGCATTTGTCCCCAATCCGTCGGTTACCGGAGGGAGGTCCCTCCGCGACTCCCCGGACCTCCAGGACCCAGGCATCGGAACCCACACCCTCCTGGAGCGGACCCTTCCCAGCCCCAGTCCAGGACCCCGAGTCCCGCCCCTTCTTCCCCTTTGCGACCTAAGCAGACAGGACCTGCTGTCTACATCTCTTAGGCCTCGTCCCCTGCCATCTCCATTCCCTGATTAAAGGTTCTTGATCCCGGAACCAAATCTAATTTCTGGTCTCGTCTATTGTCCGCGACGATCACCGACCAGGAGAGGCTCCCCAGCCCCAAACAGGCTGCGGCTGAGCGACAGCGGCGGATTTTGGCGCTTTGGTCCAGACTCTCTCGTCGAAGCACCCCGCGACCCCTGCCTGGAGGCTGCGCAGGCAGCTGGGGGTCGGGCTTCGTCTGGGGCCTCGCAGGAGGAGCGGGGTCTGCAGCAGGAGGGGGCCCGCTGGGATTTCTGCCACTGAGGCTGCACTCGCCGCCCTGGGTAAGGCTTCCCCCAGCCCTCCCCTGTGGACCTCGCTGTGGTTCCTTTCCTATTCCCTTTGGGCAGTGTGATATAGGTTTCCATGTGAGGGCCAGTACTCCTTGCCTGTCATCTCACTCTCCAGTTTGCTGCAAAGTGCAAGCGACCCCATACCCGCCTTTGCCCCACCCTTTGCCTCTCCTGGGGACATTCTTCCTGCTCAGTAGTGGGCCTTGTAAGGACCTGCAGGACAGTCTGAGAGGGAGCTACCCCAAAGGCCCAAGGAGTTCCCGGAGACCCTCTGCACTCACTCACCTCCCCACCAAGCGCCCCTGCATTCTTCCTGCACTGCGCTCCAGGTGTTGACAGCTCCTGGGCAGGGTAGCAGGTTCCAGGCAGCCCAGGCTGAGGTCCTCTGCTGGGGATTCACTGTTCCAAGAAGACAGGATTCTGACTTTATGGGGGAAGGGCTGGATAGGAACCAGGAGACCAGTTATAGGCCTGTTGCTATCAATCCTGGGACCAGTTAATTGATCTGTGTTCAGTACAGGATAGCAAAAATGGACTTGACCTTTTCTCATGTGAATATTTTCAGATACCCTCACTCCCAGCCTTCCTTCCCTGGGCACAGAAGAGACCTGCCTCAGGCGAAGTACCTCCGTGGAATTAAAAAGTCTCTTGGGCTCAGCTCTCCTCAGGGGCCTTCAGAACTCATCAAGGATAAAGCTGCAGACTTCTGGCGGTCACACAGGGACTAAAACCGATAAAATCCACAAGTCAACTGCGACTCAATCTTCCTTCCTCTTGCCGCAGTGTTCCTCACTTAGTCTTGGATGGAAGCTTCGGTCCTCTCCTGGGCCCCAACCTGCGGTCCCCAGGTTCCCCGTTTTTCACGTCTAATCTCAATTGACTCCCTCCTCCACACACCATTTTTGACCACCCAGTCCACAGAACGCCCCGGGCTTCCTAATGGGCCAGGTCCTCCTTAAGAGAGGCAGGGAGGTGGAGAGCGAGCATGGAAGCCGAGCGCCTGCTGGGCAAACCCGAATCTGGGGTCTGACCTCGCCGCCGGCAGCTGGTGAATATGTCGCAGGACCGGTGGTGGCTTGGCAGTCTTCTCCTGTCCTCTGCTCTTGGCCCCAGACCCGCGCTCACAGCCACCTCCTGAAGCCACCAGCTCTGCACCCTCTCGGCCTCGCAGGGGAAGAGGGGACTGGATGGAAGCCGCGGACTCTGGGCGCTGTCAAGGTCACTGTTGTGAAAAGCCGGGAGACCTGATGTGGACACAGGGAGGCCTGGACCGGAGGCGCGGCTGGCCAGAGGCTTCGCGTCTGCCCCTCTTCCTTCAGAGCCTCCTGCTCCCAGGGAAGCTCCGCGCGTGTCCTCAAAGCAGAGAGTGGTTTCCAAACGGACCCCCCAGCATCCGATTGGGCTATCCCGCCCCAGGCTGGAGGGTGGGGGCTCATGGGGTCTCTAGTCACCAAGTGCCCCACCTGAGAGGACCCGGTCTCTCCTCCAGGCTGCGCTGGGTCTCGAGGGAGGCGAGCAGCTCGGCTCTGAGGGGGGCCCCGGCCGGCGCTGCCCAACTCGGACAACCTTCCTGGCCCACCCAGGAGTTGAGTTTCAAGGCTTCCCGGAGAGGCCAGCCCGCATTCGGAGCGGAAGGTTTCTCAGGCCGCGAGCCTCGGAGAGAAGCAGCGCTGGTTCCCTGAGCCCGGGGCCACCGCTGGGCGGGAGCGCGCTTGGATCTTGCAGCAGCTAAAGCCTCGTGGGCTCCTCCTCGACTACAAGCCGCGGAAAACAAGTTGCAGCTCAGCACTATTTAAGTTGAGGTTTTTCTGTTATGCCTGCGGTTTGCTGTTTCAGCGCTTTGCTGTTTCAGCTTAGTGAAAGCTGAATGTACTTAGTACTTCAGCTTAGTTTTTCAGCTTAGTGTACTTAGAGAAGAGGCTTCTTCCTCTTTTGGGGGAATCAGTGGGTAGAGAGGAATTCCGTGGTTAGAGCCTACTTGGTCTTTAAGAGTCGACTATAATTTTGATTTTGATCCTCAACCACATCCGAGATCACAGTTCCCCGGTCAGTCTCAGCTCATCAGCAAAGGGTTTGGCGGCTCTCTCCAGAGGAGACTGAACGAGGTTGTCAAAGCGTCTGGATCAAAAGTGTTCCCCTGTCGGATGGAGCGGTGTCCAGGATGAACCTGAGCATTGTACCAGCATTTGGGGGTGTGGAGTTGGGAGGGAAAGCCAAGGCCCCACAGTGTGAGGAAGGAGACTGGGCAGAGCCCCTCAGTGTTTAGGAATCTCTAAATACTAAATACTACATCTCTAAATACTAAATACTGAGCTGGGATGGAATCTCTGTGCTGGAGGCTAGTGGTGCAAACTGCAGTTTCTCATCTGCAGGCACAGATGACTGACTGCCTTCAGCATGGGCTCATCTGTCCATCTCTCCTCCTGACCCCGGTCTCATTACAGGAGAGGGAACTGGGTGCTAGAGGGTGGGGAATCCAGGACGTCAGCGGTGTCGCACCTGGATAAAGCATTTTGCAAACACAAGTCCCAGGGCTGACTATTGATTTTACCACATGCAGCCTGTTTTTATTTATTAATTTCCTTTCTTTTCCCTTAAATTCCAATGACAAAGTATAACGTAAATCAACGTCCTTAAAATGTATGTAATCCTCTTCATTTAGTAACTATTCTGACCTCAAGTATCCATTCTCTAGTCAAGGATTATACCTGTTTCTCCTAGCCCCCACCAGTGCTGGGTCTGTTGTACCCCTCCCGCAGTATTGCCTCCCCCTAAATAAGCACATTTCCCTATAATTTCTTCCTTTTTCTCTATGCCTTCCCATCATGTTTGCACTTGCTGTGAAGTAAGGAAATGCTCCCCAATTCTGTTATTCCTTCCTACCCTTAGGAGATTTCTCCCTCTGCGCTGAGGATCTCACTGTGCACCTCCAGCCCTGGGTCCTGGTGGGCTCTGGTGGCCACTGGAGTCCTTGGAGCTGCCTCCCTCTGGCTCTGCTGGGTGAGTGCTCTTCTATCCTCTCTTTCTCCACTGATAAAAACAAATCCGAGAACATGTTCAGAATAACACTTCCAGAAAGGATGGTGTTGAGGGGGATCGGGAGTAGGGGAAGGAACTCCACTCCCTTGGATGAATTTGGAGACAGTTTGTTGCATTAATCTCTGGACAGGAAACAAGACAGAGCCTAGAGTAAACCAGGCTGCTCAGGTAAAAGGTCCGAAGGCCTCCTCTTCTCCCTGCCCACATTTCAGTAGACTCAGTGCCAAGGGCTTGTCCTGGGGGCAGGTGGCCTCAGCCACAGTAAGTCCCTGAGATCCTGGACCACTGCGTGGAACCCTGTTCTCTACATGAGGCAGGCTCCAGGTGCTACCTGCTTCCCTTTCATTTCCCCTGTTACAAAACATGGTCTCCCCTCTACTCCCTCTCAATCCTTCCTAGCCACCAGCTTCCTGGCAAACAACCACATAGAAGCCTTTTACTTCATATGTTGTTCTTTATCTTTATGTCTCTTGATAATATACATTTATGCCACTTCAAACATTTCCATTTTAGATATTAAGTATTGACTTTTCAAAATCCCTTCAGTCCATAGTACCTTCCACAGCACACACATTTTCATCCTCCTCATGTAGGCAGGTGGAGATTTTGAGTGCATTGAGAGCCAGAGTTAAAATTACTGACTTACGTGAATGCTACTCAGACCTGAGCCACATGGTAAACTCTCTTAGTTTTTCTTTCCATACATGTTGATGTTTTCAGAGAATTGATAATTGCCCGGCGTTTTCATTTTCTTACTTTCCATGAACCTTAACAAATGAATTCACCAACTGTCCCTTAGTTGAGTAAATGTCTTCTCCATACCTTTAAACTTATGGTGGCTCTTGTCAAGGTCATCTTCTTGGAGATGGCGTCCCCTCTGCTGTGCTGTCCACCCACCCAGGCGACCCTCTTCCTTTCTGGTCCTGTTGCCTTTTCACCTTTTCACCTTTTCATGGGTTGATGCCTGATTCTATACATCCCACGTCTTGGTCTGTTTATTTTTGTTTTGTATTCTTTTCAATATATATTCCTTCCTTCTCTTCTTGGTATGTTCCCTCCTCTCCGAGTACATCCTTCACCTTTGCTATTGGGAGAAAATTTTTCATGCCTTGCAATGTCTGAATTTCTTCTTATTTTACAGGGTTGGATTCAGGAGTTGAGGTCATCCCCAGCAGGAGCAACTAGGGCCACTGGAGGATCCCCAAGGACACAGGTCACCCTTTTCATGCAGGAAGAATCTGAATGGTTCCCACCCAGTTTCCTGGGCAGGCAGGAGAATCCAACACGAGGGGCTGCTGTCTTCTCTGACTCTTAGGGCCCTTGCAAGATCCTGTTCTGGGTGATTTAGCTGAAGGGCAGGGTGATTTGGGCAAGCATCCTCAGGGCTCTGGGCCTCAGTTTCCTTCACTGGGTGATGGGTTGATCAGATAGATGGCCTTCCCCACATAGCTGAAAATCAGATGTGGTGAAAGTGCATTGAGACCGGAAACAATGTTATTGTTCTCAAATACATGCCCAGAGAGCACGAAATAAATTTTTATTCAGCTGGCATTTCTGTTCCTTTCTGAACTATGGGACTGATCAAAAGAGAGAGGTTAGGTGGGGTGAGTGTGGGTCCTGGCCAGGAGAATGGAGGAGGGAGGGAAAAGCTGTGAGAAGAAGTGGAAAGAGAGGTACAAAGAATGCAGGATGGTGTCACTTCAGGGAAGGGCCTGGGATTCCTAGTAAGTATGGAGGAGAGGTGGCACCTGGGATTACCTTTGGAAGCCCACATGTAGCTGATCCCACCGCTTGCTCCTCCTCCTGCCTGGAAGTCTATGCCAACGTGACTAGATGCACAGTAGAATGGAACTGGTGCTTGATTCTCAGACTGGCACCATCATCTACCCTCAAGAGTTTTTTTCATTCCCTTCCTCCCTGTTTCCCCACCCCAACTGCCAAACCCATTGCTCCATTCTTCCCATATAACTCTACCAGGTACCCACCTCTTGGGTTCTAGTCATGTCCGAAGAAGTCTTTTATTAATTTATTTCTTGTAGAGATAGGGTCTTGCATTGTTGTCCAGGCTGGTCTTGAACTCCCGGCCTCACCTCAGCCTACCATAGTGCTAATATTATAGGTGTGAGCCACTGCTCCCAGTCTGTGTCTGACAATGTCTTGAGTGACTAAAAGGCATTTTCTTTCACTTTGTAGTCTTGGGCTTCCTTCAGTCTGCCTCTCTCCTCTTTTCCTGTGACCCCAGGCAGGCTTTGTCATTCCCTTCCTCCTCTGGGGTGCCCTCTGGGCTTCAGAGCAGCCCTGGTGAGAATCTGCAGGGCAACCTGCACACTAGCTGGCTGGGCTTCTGAGCCCCTCCACACTCACTCATATGCCTCTCCCACCTCCCTCCAGTGGTGAGATCGGGAATACAACTCACTGAGTCTCCAAGTCCAATGGATTTTCTATCCCAGGGATGAGCATGTCCTAGTCATCTTCTGTGAAGTAGAGGGAGGCTTCTGTTCCCTTCTGGGCTTCAATTCTGCACTTCCAGAGTTCCCCATTCTTCACGTTTAGTCACTCTACCTCCCTACACATATTTTTGGAATCAACCAACCAGGCTAGATGGACCAGCCAGTCCCCAACGTGAGAGCTGGCAGGGAAGTTCTTAAATAACGGTTTAGTTTTCCTATAGTGTGACAAAACTGGCTCCAAATGCCAAATGAAACCCCTTTAGTGCATGCCCCGTGTGCTCAGAAATTTGCCTTATACTCCTTCACTCACACAGAAAAGCAAAGACAAAAATAAAATAACAAAATTCAATTTCCACAACTAAATTTCCCATGTATTATTTTTCCCAACAGAGTTCATCAACAAGCCTGTGATACCTTAGGATATACTGTGTTCTGTAAATCTAAAACACCACCTTACATTTGTAAGGCTAACATTTACAGAGCACTTGGTATGTCCAAGGCTCTAGTCTAATATCCAAGTGAATATTATCTGATTTGTTCCTTGTGAGGATTAATTTGATTTCTCAACATGACTGGGTCACGAAGGAGCCCAGATATTTGGCCAAACATTATTCTAGGTATTCCCATGAGTGTGTTCGAAAAATGATTTACATTTAAATCAGTGGAATTGACTAATGTACATTGCCCTCCATAATGTGAGTGGGCCTCATCAGATCAACTGGAGATATATGTCGCCTATTCATTCTGCTTCTGTGGAGAGCCCTGATCAATACACTGTTCATAAGACCAGTGTTTTGGGGATTTATTAATTAATGGAGGCACACTGTGGTTACTTGCCTAGTAAGCTAGAAGAACACTAAAGAGGAAGTGTAAGAGCCGAAATTGCTTTTTAGTAGAACTCAGTTTGAAGTTTCCTTGCAGTGGTGAGTGTGGAGATGGGTTCAGCAGGGTGGTCTGCAGTGGGTTTGCCAAGGGTCTCTGGGATTCCACTGGAATTTCTCTCCACTGAAGGGAGAGGCTTAGCAGGTGCCTCCAGTGCTCTCCAGAGCAAATTGGGTCAGCTTCATTAAGAGTTCCTCTCTGAAGAAGGGAACTATGATCCTGACCCTGGAACAGGCCCTGGAGTCTGAGGCATGAGGGAGAAGCCTACATCTTGGAGAGGTGGACGAAGGAGGAGGGGAATCATAAAGATGGGGCTTTGCCTTCAGCCAGAAGCATTCTGCAATCTCAGGGATGAATCCAAAGATGGAAGAGGGGGTTTCTGGGAATAGGAACCTTTGTTCAGTACCTATTTTGGGGGGTGAGGTGGGGTCCCTCATGTTGTATCACAAGAAACAGATTCTATTTTATGACAGTATGATCTACCCATGGTCTTGTTCTTAAACTCTTGCAGATGCTGAGTCTCAATAGAGATGAGGAATCTGAGGGTCACAGAGCTAGTGCTTGGATGGATTTACAAATGTAGGAAGGAGGTTTGACTGATCTTGGTGTGACACCTCCTTCTTTCATTGTTTTTCTGGGAGGAGTCTGATCTCTTTTCTTTTTTTGTGAGATATAAAATATATGCAGAAAAGTTACTTACAAATGTACACAATATTTAACTAGCGACTATGACCACACAAGCACCACCTAGGTCAAGAAGCACAGTTGTCCAGTGTCCCACAAATGCCTTGCTTGCCCCCTCCCATCACACCTCTTCCCTTTCCTAGCTCCATGAGTGACTGCCTTTCTGACCTCTGTGCTAACATTCTTTCCTGGCTATGTGTTTGCAAACACTGTGATTAAAAGATTGCTTCTCAATTTTGGTCTTGTTTTCCTTCTTCAGGTTGTGTCTCCCTTGAGCAGAAACTGTCACTGCCCAAGGTGGGCTGCCGGTCTTGGTGGCTTCTAGTTCTTTTGGGAGTTTCCAGAACTGATTCTGTCTGGCTGTGACAGTGGGTTTTTTTTTTTTTTTTTTTTTTCCTGCTCAGGTCTCTGCTCTGCTACGAACCTTTATATGCTGTATGCTGATTTCGGTGTGAACTTAAGTGTTCATTTCTCTGGGATAAATGCCCTAGAGTGCAATGGCATGTTTAGTTTTTTTTTTTTTTCGCCATACTCTAGTTTCTAGAGTGGCTGTACCATTTTACATTCCCACCAGCAATGAGTGATTCAGCCATTTTCTCCACATCCAGCATGTGGTGTTATTTCTATTTCTTATTTTATTCATTCTGATAGGGGTGTAGTAATATCTCATAATGGTTTTAATTACATTTCCCCAATGATGAATCATATGGACCACATTTTTTTTTTTCTTTTTTTTTTTGAGATGGAGTCTCGCTCTGTGGCCCCGGCTGGAGTGCAGTGGCGCGATCTCGGCTCACTGCAAGCTCCGCATATGGACCACATTTTTGTGTCCTCACTTCCCATCTACATATCATTTTAAAAGAAATATTTGTCATGTGTTTTGTCCACTTTCCTATTTTATTGATTTTTTTAAACTGTTGAATTTTCAGTGTCTTTATATATTAAAAATGAAGGTTTTTTTTTTTTTTTTTTTTTTTTTTTTTTTTTTTTTTTTTTTTTTAGGATACGTGGGAAGGTAGTTTGAAACTTTTGAGGTCACCCAAATCTGCTTTTCTTTCTCTTTTTTGGGAACAGATTCTGGATTCAAGATCCCCTCCAACAGTGAAAGCCATTTTCGTGGGCCCTGGGCCCAGGATACTCCAACCTGGTCGCATACCCCTTGGGATTTCCCAGCAGCGGGCTGCAGAATATAACGTCCAGGAGTGGGGTGTCCTCTCTCTCCGGGCTCTTGGAAGACGCTGCTCCGCCTTTGATCACCTGGATTTTTAACTATTCGAATCTAGCTGAAGATCTGTGTAGCCTGGGCAAGCCTCTGCAGAACCCTGGGCTTCAGTTTCCTTCTCTGGGCACTGGGGTGATCACAGGGTCTCCCTGACCAAACCTACAAATGGAAAGTTCTCCCGGAAAGCTCTTTGTAACCACAGACGGTGATGCAATGTAAACCCTTAGAATGACCTCCTAGGATCTAGCCGTAAACCCTGTTCAAATGCCACACTTCATCCTTAGTTCTGTCCCTTCTGGAATTCTTCAGCGAAAGAAGCCTGAGTAGGGATCAGTGGAGCAGGAGGAGGAAGGGAGGGGCTGGGAAGAAGAGAGCCAGGCGGGGAGCAGAGCGCGGCGGGGGTGGTCCGTGACTCACGCGTGGCAGGGCTCACCATCGCCTCCAGGCTGCGCGCCTGCGGCCGGGTCTCCTCCCAGGTTCCCAGCCTGTTCCTTCACCCCATCTCTCTCTCTCTCTCTCTCCCTCCCTCCCTCCCTCTCTCTCTCTCTCTCTGAAATAATCGTTTCAATAAAATGCAGAAAAAGTATTCGATAAAATCCAGCATCCCTTTATGATTAAAAGCCTCAGCAAAATCAGCATAGAAGGGACATACCTTAAAGTAATAAAAGCCCTTTATGACACACCCACAGCCAACCTTATACTGCACAGAGAAAAGATGAAAGCATTCCCCCTGAGAACTGGAACAAGACGAGGACGCCCACTTTCACCACTTCTTTCAACATAGTACTGGAAGTCCTAGCAAGTGATAATTTCTTAAAGGTTAGATACAACCTGAAACCCTATCATTGACTATTTGTATTCTGTTATGTTAAAATAGATTGGTCTATCTTGCCCATTGAATGGATTTGTACTAATAATGAAAACAAACAAACAAAAACAAACCCTACACTATGTATGCCCAGTAGTTACCATATTTAACAGTGCATATCTAGAGTGCTCATAGTTTTCAATCTCCCCCAAAATATATGGTGGGACTCTCAGATTGAATATATATTAAATTATCTTCATCGAGAAGTCACGGATTTGTCCACATGGGCCTTAGACACGTCCTTAAAACACAGCAAGCCCACGAAAGTCTAATTAATATGTATATGTATAAGTGGAGGGTACAGACATTAACCGAAACATGATTTATCACCTCAACATTTTAAGTGTTCAAAAATGCCCATTGCCAGGGCTAATCATTGTCTATATTGCACTGGAATTCTGTTGTTATTGTTTGCTTTAACCAGGTGAATACAAGGAGAAGATAAGTATCCATTTTTCTCAAGACAAACTATTGGATATGACATATGTCAAGTATGCTGAAGGCTCTGTAGACATATTTTTTAAATTATAAAACAAGAGACTTAAACCTTAGAATTCTTTACCTGCTGCCCCTCCTCCCCTTGTATTCCAACAATTTTGTTTTCTTCACCCTTGGACTCCTCTTTCCTCATTGTCACAACCTAGCTGGAACAATACATGAAGTGTCTACAATTGGGCAGTGAAGAAGGATTCTCTAAGCATGACCTAAAAATAAACACCATAAAGAAGTATGAGGGTAGTTTTAAGTACTTATAAATTAAAAAACTTCTCTTTGGTAACCACAAACATAGATATATACAGACAGTTTCTCATAATCAACCTCAAAGACACATAAAAAATTTATAGACAAAATAATAATGCGTCCGAAGCTTTCTTCCAAAGTCCACTAGGAACATATCCTAGTGGGTGAAGAAGTTGGGTTTATTACTGGTTCCTGAGTGCAAGAATAGGTGCTGTGAGCCATGTGGTGTTTTGGTAAGAGGGTGTTAGAAAGAAATTCTTAAAGGATTTGGGCTTTGGTTGGGTGATCCTGGGGAGGGTGAGGAAGTGGGCTTCACTCTAGATTGGGTACTCGTCAGGAAGCAGGGGCAATTCTGTAATTGAATGTCTCAACAAATCTTAGCTCTAGTGAGGGTGGACTAGAGCAGAATAAAGCTGTAATTGGTAGACAAGCATCAGCCCCTGGTATTAGTGGAGAGAGTGCTTAGACAAAATTATGAAGTGTTCTTGTATTTCCTCACTTTATCATCATCTCAGAGTGAACTTTCTAATGTTGGTGTTTTGTGGTGATTGTGGTCCAATAGGAGAATAACATGGCTTAACAATGAACATTGGGCCAGCTTCATATAACAAGGAGTCCCAGCCATAAGTGTCAGATCAGTTCCTAGATATCAGAGGCTTCTTGTTTTCTTTCTTAAATTCAACATTTAAAAATATCTACGTCCCATTTGGAAAAGGATTAATGAATATTAGAGCATAATTTGGCATAGAAAATGCAAGTGTCAAATATAATAGTAATAAGTAAATGTCAACAAAATTAAAATGTGGATTAGGAAATGGGATGGAAGTTTAATATATCTTAGCTTGGCAAAGATGAAAGTCAAAGATAATAATATTGAGTGGAGAATAGGGGAAATTTACTGTCATAAAAGTTGATGGGATTAAATACTGGCATACAATTTCTAAAGAGTCAGGCATGTTGGCTTAATGCCTGTAATCCCAGCACTTTGGGAAGCTGAGGTGGGCAGATTGCTTGAGTCCAGGAGTTCCAGACCAGCCAGGGCAACATGGCGAAACCCCATCTCTACAAAAAATACAAAAAAAATTAGGCATGGTGGCACCCTCCTGTAGTCCCAGGAGGATCGCCTGAGCCGGGGAGGTCAAGGCTACGGTGAGCTGTGATCACACCACTGCACTCCAGCCTGAGGAACAGAGTGAGACCCCATCTCAAAGAAAAAACACCCCAGTGTCTAAAGAGCATTTTTGGAAAATGTCTCAAGAAGATCATGTTGATGCAAAAAACTTATCTTCTAAAAATGTAGCCTAAGAAGAAAATCACACGTTTTTAAAAATATATAACAAGAATATTCCTTGAATTATCGTTTATAAAACAAAAGAATGAAAACAACCAAAATAGTATAATCAATATGATGTTAGCTATGAATTGTGGACACTTAATATGTCTCAGTCAGTAATAATGTGTATAATACATAGACAATATATAATTTAATCATCAGAGAAAACCCATCAGGAATCTACTATGTGACTCAGAGAGGTTGAGGAGGTGGTGAAGCTGGATTGAAGCCAGGAGATCTTCTCTCAGACACCTAATTGACTCATCTTTTGTTGATGCTCTGCCCATAAGGTAGGTGAGTGTGACTCTGCACCCCATGCAAGTGAACCATTTCAATGTCCGTGAACATTCTATGACAGGCAGCTGCTAGGCTTAGAGCTCGGGAGGACAAAAGGGCATGTGTGACTTCACTGCCCACACCACACTAAAGTCCATCATCCGGTGTATATTTCAAGGTGAATCAAGATATTAGCTAGACATTGAAGATAGAAGAAGAGCTAAAGTAAGATCTTGATGATATGGAGCTTGCACTGTCATGAGAGAGACGGACATTTAGCAAAAATTACCAAGATAAATGTGAAACCACTACATTTATGAATTCTGAGAGAAAATTTCATAATATCGTGAAAGAAGATAACAAGGAGACCCAACAAGTCCCCTGCTACTATTATCAATAATATATAAAGGATGTAAGAAAATAAGTGGCATTTATGAAATAGGAACTCATTTATGTAAAATTATACACAAGAACGAGCTCTGGAAATTAAAAATGTGATTACAGAATCATAGAAATGAACAATTCATTAGATAATTTGGAAGACAAAAGTCATAATAAAATGGAAAAATGTTTGCAAAAAAGAAAGAAAAAGTGTAAGAACATTATACTATCAGGCCAAGTGTGGTGGCTCAAGCCTATAATCCTAGTGCTTTGGAGGCTAAGGAAAGAGAATTGCTTGAGCCCAGGAGTTCAAGACCAGCCAGGGCAACACAAGGAGACCCCGTATCAAAAAAACAAACAAACAAACAAACAACAAAAAATGCAATGTTTCAAAAGACTACATGAAGAATAGACTCAGAGATTGTCCTATGAAGACTGCCATAGTATAGGGCAGTAGTTGCAGGGAGACATGGGATCAGAGATCAAGGGATAAATTTCGATGGGAAGATTTTGTTTTGATTTGTTTAGTCCAGTTTTGTTTGTTTTTTTGGGGGGAGATATTACAGCACGTCTGCCTGTAGAAATGATGGGCCAGTAGAGAGTGGAAATTGATGATATAGGGGAAGGAAGGATTGATCTTATGCTTGAGTGCAGGGGTGGTCTTAGGAGCGGGGATCATCCATCATCACTGGTGGGAAGGCTGAGGATACAAGTGCAGATTTGGGGATAGTAATGGGATGGTGATGCATTTCTCACCTGGGTCCTCCTTTTTTTCCTGCGTGAAAGAGAAATAAATGTATAACCTAAAAATAGGGAGTGTGGAAGGAGTGGAGGGATGTGAGGGCAGAGAACAAAGTGAGAAACAGCCCCCTGAGGAATTGTAAGAGTGAACTGACCTGGGAGATGGCATTTGGAGAGTGCAGGGCTGTGGGCCACTGAGGTCTGTGGTCATAACTTTGGGGGTGGGAGAGAGAGAGAGAGAGAGAGAGAGAGAGATAGAGAGAGAGAGAGAATGGCACACATCCAGTAATGGGGCAGCAGCAGGAAAATATATAACTGACTAGAAGGAAATGAAACCACATATCTCTGCTGTAAGGATCATGGGATAGTTTAAATTTGTAATTGATCATTTGAAATATTTGGTAATTTTTCTGCAGTGAATATATATTACATTATAATGAGAAAAAGTTATATTTACAAATTAAAAAGGGAATGTTGATGGAGAAAGTGTAGATAATTTAGAAATATCAGAGAGGATAGAACATACTGAAGGGAATAAAAATAATTGCCTCTTTCCCCAACCCAACTCGGATCCCCATACCAACTACTCACATGCTCTGTTTTTAGAGGGACTCAAAAGCCTGTTTTATCCCAAATGCTTTTTCATAGGGTGACATGGAACTTTAGGGTAAGACTTGGCCTCTAGAATTCACCATTCCCTAGAGAACATGGTGCCCTACAGAAGAAAATCATCATCACTAACGTTGTCATTAGCACCACAAATTGCAGTACCAGCAATTGTGTCAAATGTGTTACAAGCCCTATTGCTATTTAATTTAATTTTCACACAAAAGAAAGTATTTACAGACAAAGAACTGAGCTCTATGAAGCCTCAAATAGCTTTCTGTATGTCATGCTGATCAGAGCAGTCCCAGGATATCCAGGTCTGTCTGACTCGAAGACCCAGGTCCTTTAAATAAATACATACTATTTTGGCTTTACAAGGAATGGGCAGTGTTTTGCACATGTGCCATATTCCGCTTCCTGTGCTGGTGTTTTGCATTCATTATTTCATATCATCCTTATCTAGCCCACACTATGCTCCACTAGGCTGGATGGACTTACAGCATCAGTGGATTCCCATTTTGGACCATGCAGATGATGTGAATTTCAGCTGCAGATCTTTGTGAAAAGGACCGGTTTTCTTATTCATCCCTACCCAGATAAGCTGTGTGTGTGTTTGTGTGTGTAGCTTAATGTAGATCTCCAATTAAAGGCAGTAGAGAGTGGAATAATCACTGGCTGATCAAGAATATACTCACAGTCCACAGCATGATTTACCTATCTCTGTACTGTTTTGCTCCCACTAACTGTAGCAAGTGCTGGATGCTCCTCACATGGCCAACAAGGTGTTCTTCTTCCCTAAGTCTGCAGCCCTCTTTCCTTGTCTACCCCAACCCCAAAATTCCAACTTTGTTCTGCCACTGCACCAAGTGCTTGCTTAAGGGCAGCAATTACCATTTTCCTAGCTCTTCATATCTTTAGAGTAGGCATCTTAAAGACAAAATATCCTCTCATGAGCAGATGCAAAGTGACACAGCACAGCACAGCACCAATTGATTATTGTGTAGAAACTCTCATCCAGTGAGTGAGAGGAGGGATGAAAAGGGTGAAAAGGGCAACCCCATCCTGCTATGTCCCATTGTTATTAATTGGGGATATTACTCCCAGTTTATATATTAAGAAACCAATGCTCAGTAATGAGGGTAATTTGTCCATAGTAATAAAAAAATGGTAAAGGCCATGTTCAAATTCAGACCAATTTTATTTCAGGGCCCATGTTTCCTTCATACATCATCCCTTGTGGCCAAAGTCATTGGCAGCAGCCATTGAAGAGGCCTCAGGTGTAGGAATGTCCAGGGTTTCCCTTTTTTCTGAGACAGGGTCTTGCTCTGTCGCCCAGTCTGGAGTGCAGTGGTATGAACACAGCTCACCGCTGCTTTGACTTCTTGGGCTCAAGTGGTCCTCCTGCCTCAGCTTCCTGAGCAGCTGGGACCACAGGTATGCACTATCACGCCTTATTAATTTTTCTTTTTTAAGAGACAGGGTCTGCCATATTTCCCAGGCTGGAGTGCAGTGGCATGACTACAACTTACTGCAGTCTCAACCTACAACCTCAGCCTGCCAAGTAGTTGGGACCACAGGCACATGTCACCACACTCAGCTAATTACAATTTTTTTTTTTTTTTGGTAAAGATGCAGTCTCCCTAAGTTGCCTAGGCTGGTCTTAAACTTCCAGGCTCAAGTGATACACCCTCCTCTATCTCCCAAAGTGCTGAGATTATAGGCATGAGACACTGTACCTGGCTACTACTGATTTTTGTATGTTGATTTTGTATTATGCAACTTTACTGAATTTGTTTATCAGTTCTAATAGTTCTTTGGTGGAGTCTTGTAGATTTTTCCAAATATAAGATTATATCATCTGCAAACAAGGATAATTTGACTTCTATTTCTTTCTCTTGTCTGATTGCTCTAGCTAGGGTTTCCAATACTATGGTCAATAACGGTGGTGAAAGCAGGCAACCTTGTTGTGTTACTGATCTTAGAGGAAAGGCCTTCAATTTTTCCCCATTCATTTAGTATGATACTAGCTGTGGGTTTGTTGTACATAATGGCTTATTATGTTAAGGTATGTTCCTTCTATACTCAGTTTTTTGACAGTCTTTATCATGAAGGAATGTTGAATTTTATTGACTGTTTTTACAGCATCAATTGAAATGATTATATGGTTTTTGTCTTTCATTCTGTTGAATATGATGTATCACATTGATTGACTTGCATATTTTGAACCATCCTTGCATCCCTAGGATAAATCCCACTTGGTCATGAGGAATGATCTTTTTAATGTGTTGTCGATTTTTATTTGCTAGTATTTTGTTGAGGATTTTTGCAACAATATTTGTCAGTAATATTGGCCTATAGCTTCCTTTTTTTGATGTGTCTTTGTCCGGTTTTGGTATCAGGGTAATACTGCCCTTGTAGGATGATTTTGGAAGTATTCCTTCCTGAATTTTTTGGAACAGTTTGAACAGGATTGGTATTAGTTTTTCTTTAAATGTTTGGTAGAATTCAGCAGTGAAGCCATCAGGGCTTTTCTTTGCTGGGAGACTTTTTGTTATGACTTTTATCTGATTACTTGCTATTGGTCTGTTCAGGTTTTGGATTTTGTTCACCATTCAATCTTGGTAGGTTATATGTATCTAGGAATCTACCCATTTCTTCTAGGTTTTCCAATTTATTGGCATGTAGTTGCCCATAGTAGCCACTGATGATCCTTTGAATTTCTGCAGTATCAGTTGTAATGTCTCTTTTTTCATGTTTGATTTTATTTATTTGGGTCTTCTGTCTTTTTCTGTTAGTCTGGCTAATGATTTGTCAATTTTGTTTAACTTTTCAAAAAACTTACTTTTTGTTTCATTGATCTTTGGTATTGTTTTCTTCATTTCAAACTCATTTACTTTTGTTCTGATCTTCATATTTCTTTTCTTCTACTAATTTTGGGTTTGGTTTTCCCTTGCTTTTCTAGCTATTTAAGATGCATTGTTGTATTGTTTATTTGAAGTTTTTCTTTTTTTTTTGATGTAGCTACTTATAGCTATAAACTTCCCTCTTAGTATTACTTTCACTGTATCCCTTAGGTTTTGGTATGTTGCATTTCCATTATCATTTATTTTCAGAATTTTTTCAATTTCTCTTTCTATAAATAAATAAATACATATATTATATATATTCTACATATATATTTTTTCCTTTTTAATTTTATTTATTTATTTTTATTATACTTTAAGTTCTAGAGTACAAGTGCACAATGTGCAGGTTTGTTACATAGGTATACATGTTGGTTTGCTGCACCCATTAACTCGTCATTTACATTAGGTATTTCTCCTAATGCTATCCCTCTCCCAGCCCCCTCTCCATGACTGTCCCCGGTGTGTGATGTTCGCCGCCCTGTGTCCAAGTGTTCTCATTGTTCAGTTTCCACCTATGAGTGAGAATATGCAGTGTTTGGTTTTCTGTCCTTGTGATAGTTTCCTCAGAATGATGGTTTCCAACTTCATCCATGTCCCTGCAAAGGACATGAACTCATCCTTTTTTATGGCTGCTTAGTATTCCATGGTGTATATGTGCCACATTTTCTTAATCCAGTCTATCATTGATGGACATTTGGGTTGGTGTCAAGTCTTTGCTATTGTGAATAGTGCCACAATAAACATATGTGTGCATGTGTCTTTATAGTAGCCTGATTTATAATCCTTTGGGTATATACCCAGTAATGGGATCACTGGGTCAAATGGTATTTCTAGTTCTAGATCCTTGAGGAATTGCCACACTGACTTGTACAATGGTTGAACTAGTTTACACTCCCACTGACAGTGTAAAAGTGATCCTATTTCTCCACACCCTCTCCAGTATCTGTTGTTTCCTGACTTTTTAATATCACCATTCTAACTGGCATGAATGCTATCTCATTGTGGTTTTGATTTGCATTTCTCTGATGACCAGTGATGATGAGCATTTTTTCATGTGTCTATTGGCTGCATAAATGTCTTCTTTTGAGAAGTGTCTGTTTATATCCTTGGCCCACTTTTTGATGGGGTTGTTTGTTTCTTTCTTGTAAATTTGTTTAAGTTCTTTGTAGATTCTGGATATTAGCCCTTTGTCAGATGGGTAGATTGCAAAAATTTTCTCCCATTCTATAAGTTGCTTGTTCACTCTGATATTAGTTTCTTTTACTGTGCAGAAGCTCTTTAGTTTAATTAGATCCCATTTGTCTATTTTGGCTTTTGTTGCCGTTGCTTTTGGTGTTTTAGTCATGAAGTTCTTGCCCATGCCTATGTCCTGAATGGTATTGCCTAGGTTTTCTTCTAGGGTTTTTATGGTTTTAGGTCTAACATTTAATTCTTTAATCCATCTTGAATTAATTTTTGTATAAGGTGTAAGGAAGGGATCCTGTTTCAGCTTTCTACATATGGCTAGCCAGTTTTCCCAGCACCATTTATTAAATACGGAATCATTTCCCCATTTCTTGTTTTTGTCAGGTTTGTCAAAGATCAGATGGCTGTAGATGTGGGGTGTCATTTCTGAGGCCTCTGTTCTGTTCCATTGGTCTATATCTCTGTTTTGGTACCAGTACCATGCTGTTGTGGTTACTGTAGCCTTGTAGTATAGTTTGAAGTCAAGTAGCGTGATGCCTCCAGCTTTGTTCTTTTGGCTTAGGATTGTATTGGCAATGCAGGCTTTTTTTTTGGTTCCATATGAACTTTAAAGTAGCTTTTTCCAATTCTGTGAAGAAAGTCATTGGTAGCTTGATGGGGATGGCATTGAAAGTGTAAATTACCTTGGGCAATATGGCCATTTTCACGATATTGATTTTTCCTATCCATGAGCATGGAATATTCTTCCATTTGTTTGTGTCCTCTTTTATTTTGTTGAGCAGTGGTTTGTAGTTCTCCTTGAAGAGGTCCTTCATATCCTTTGTAAGTTGGATTCCTAGGTATTTTATTCTCTTTGCAGCAATCGTGAATGGGAGTTCACTCATGATTTGGCTCTCTGTTTGTCTGTTATTGGTGTACAGAAATGCTTGTGATTCTTGCACATTGATTTTATATCCTGAGACTTTGCTGAAGTTGCTTATCAGCTTAAGGAGATTTTGGGCTGAGATGATGGGGTTTTCTAGATATACAATCATGTCATCTGCAAACAGGGACAATTTGACTTCCTCTTTTCCTAATTGAATACCCTTTATTTCTTTCTCTTGCCTGATTGCCCTGGCCAGAACTTCCAACATTATGTTGAATAGGAGTGGCGAGAGACGGCATCCCTGTCTTGTGCCAGTTTTCAAAGGGAATACTTCCAGTTTTTGCCCATTCAGTATGATATTGACTGTGGGTTTGTCATAAATAGCTCTTATTATTTTGAGATACGTTTCATCAATATCTAGTGTATTGAGAGTTTTTAGCATGAAGGGCTGTTGAATTTTGTCAAAGGCCTTTTCTGCATCTATTGAGATAATCATGTGGTTTTTGTCATTGGTTCAGTTTATGTGATGGATTATGTTTATTGATTTGCATATGTTGAACCAGCCTTGCATCCCAGGGACAAAGCCAACTTGATTGCAATGGATAAACTTTTTGATGTGCTGCTGGATTCAGTTTGCCAGTATTTTATTGAGGATTTTCGCATTGATGTTCATCAGGGATATTGGTCTAAAATTCTTTTTTTTGTTGTTGTGTCTCTGCCAGGCTTTGGTATCAGAATGATGCTGGCCTCATAAAATGAGTTAGGGAGGATTCCCTTTTTTCTATTGATTGGAATAGTTTCAGAAGGAATGGTACCAGCTCCTCCTTGTACCTCTGGTAGAATTTGGCTGTGAATCCATCTGGTCCTGGACTTTTTTTGGTTGGTAAGCTATTAATTATTGACTCAATTTCAGAGCCTGTTATTGGTCTATTCAGAGATTCAACTTCTTCCTGGTTTAGTCTTGGGAGGGTGTATGTGTTGAGGAATTTATCCATTTCTTCTAGATTTTCTAGTTTATTTGCGTAGAGGTGTTTATAGTATTCTCTGATGGTAGTCTGTATATCTGTGGGATCGGTGGTGATATCCCCTTTATCATTTTTTATTGTGTCTATTTGATTCTTCTCTCTTTTCTTCTTTATTAGTCTTGCTAGCGGTCTATCAATTTTGTTGATCTTTTCAAAAAACCACCTCCTGGATTCATTGATTTTTTGAAGGGTTTTTTATGTCTCTATCTCCTTAAGTTCTGCTCTGATCTTACTTATTTCTTGCCTTCTGCTGTCTTTTGAATGTAAAGTTTGCTCTTGCTTCTCTAGTTCTTTTAATCGTGATGTTAGGGTGTCAATTTTAGATCTTTCCTGCTTTCTCTTGTGGGCATTTAGTGCTATAAATTTCCCTCTACACATTGCTTTAAATGTGTCCCAGAGATTCTGGTATGCTGTGTCTTTGTTCTCATTGGTTTCAAAGAACATCTTTATTTGTGCCTTCATTTCATTATGTACCCAGTAGTCATTCAGGAGCAGGTTGTTCAGTTTCCATGTAGTTGAGCGGTTTTGAGTGAGTTTGTTAATCCTGAGTTCTAGTTTGGTTGCACTGTGGTCTGAGCAACAGTTTGTTATAATTTCTGTTCTTTTATATTTGCTGAGGAGTGCTTTACTTCCAACTATGTGGTCAATTTTGGAATAAGTGCGGTGTGGTGCTGAGAAGAATGTACATTCTGTTGATTTGGGGTGGAGAGTTCTGTAGATGTCTATTAGGTCCGCTTGGTGCAGAACTGAGTTCAATTCCTGGATATCCTTGCTAACTTTCTGTCTCGTTGATCTGTCTAATGTTGACAGTGGGGTGTTAAAGTCTCCCATTATTATTGTGTGGGAGTCTAAGTCTCTTTGTAGGTCACTCAGGACTTGCTTTATGGATCTGGGTGCTCCTGTATTGGGTGCATATCTATTTAGGATAGTTAGCTCTTCTTGTTGAATTGATCCCTTTACCATTATGTAATGGCCTTCTTTGTCTCTTTTGATCTTTGTTGGTTTAAAGTCTGTTTTATCAGAGACTGGGATTGCAACCCCTGCCTTTTTTTGTTTTCCATTTGCTTGGTAGATCTTCCTCCATCCCTTTATTTTGAGCCTATGTGTGTCTCTGCACATGAGATGGGTTTCCTGAATACAGCACACTGATGGGTCTTGACTCTTTATCCAATTTGCCAGTCTGTGTCTTTTAATTGGAACATTTAGCCCATTTACATTTAAGGTTAATATTGTTATGTGTGAATTTGATCCTGTCATTATGATGTTAGCTGGTTATTTTGCTTGTTAGTTGATGCAGTTTCTTCCTAGCATCGATGGTCTTTACAATTTGGCATGTTTTTGCAGTGGCTGGTACCAGTTGTTCCTTTCCATGTTTAGTGCTTCCTTCAGGAGCTCTCGTAGGGCAGGCCTGGAGGTGACAAAATTTCTGAGCATTTGCTTGTCTGTAAAGTATTTTATTTCTCCTTCACTTATGAAGCTTAGTTTGGCTGGATATGAAATTCTGGGTTGAAAATTCTTTTCTTTAAGAATGTTGAATATTGGCCCCCAGTCTCTTCTGGCTTGTAGAGTTTCTGCTGAGAGATCCGCTGTTAGTCTGATGGGCTTCCCTTTGTGGGTAACCCAACCTTTCTCTCTGGCTGCCCTTAACATTTTTTCCTTCATTTCAACTTTGGTGAATCTGACAATTAATGTGTCTTGGAGTTGCTCTTCTCACGGAGTATCTTTATGGCATTCTCTGCATTTCCTGAATTTGAATGTTGGTCTGCCTTGCTAGGTTGGGGAAGTTCTCCTGGATAATATCCTGCAGAGTGTTTTCCAACTTGGTTCCATTCTCCCTGTCACTTTCAGGTACACCAAGCCAACGTAGATTTGGTCTTTTCACATAGTCCCATATTTCTTGGAGGCTTTGTTCATTTCTTTTTATTCTTTTTTCTCTAAACTTCTCTTCTTGCTTCATTTCATTCATTTGATCTTCAATCTCTGTTACCCTTTCTTCCAGTTGATTGAATCGGCTACTGAATCTTGTGCACGCATCACGTAGTTCTCCTGCCATGGTTTTCAGCTCCATCAGGTCCTTTAAGGACTTCTCTGCATTGGTTATTCTAGTTAGCCATTCGTCTAATCTTGTTTCAAGGTTTTTAACTTCTTTGCAATGGGTTTGAACTTCCTCCTTTAGCTTGGAGAAGTTTGATCGTCTGAAGCCTTCTTCTCTCAGCTCATCAAAGTCATTCTCCGTCTAGCTTTGTTCCGTTGCTGGTGAGGAGCTGCATTCCTTTGGAGGAGGAGAGGCACTCTGAGTTTTAGAATTTTCAATTTTTCTGCTCTGTTTTTTCCCCATCTTTGTGGTTTTATCTACCTTTGGTCTTTGATGATGGTGACGTACAGATGGGGTTTTGGTGTGGATGTTCTTTCTGTTTGTTAGTTTTCCTTCTAACAGTCAGGACCCTCAGCTGCAGGTCTGTTGGAGTTTGCTGGAGGTCCACTCCAGACCCTGTTTGCCTGGGTATCAGCAGCAGAGGCTGCAGAACAGTGAATATTGCTGAACAGCAAATGTTGCTGCCTGATCGTTCCTGTGGAAGTTTTGTCTCAGAGGGGTACCTGGCCGTGTGAGGTGTCAGTCTGCCCCTACAGGGAGATGCCTCCCAGTTAGGCTTCTCAGGGGTCAGGGACCCACTTGAGGAGGCAGTCTGTTCATTCTCAGATCTCAAACTCCATGCCGGAAGAACCACTACCCTCTTCAAAGCTGTCAGACAGGCACATTTAAGTCTGCAGAGGTTTCTACTGCCTTTTGTTCGGCTATGCCCTGCCTCCAGCGGTGGAGTCTACAGAGGCAGGCAGGCCTCCTTGAGCTGCAGTTGGTTCCACCCAGTTCAAGCTTCCCGGTCGCTTTGTTTACCTACTCAAGCCTCAGCAATGGTGGGCGCCCCTCCCCCAGCCTTGCTGCCACCTTGCAGTTTGATCTCAGACTGCTGTGCTAGCAATGAGGGAGGCTCCATGGGCTTGGGACCCTCCGAGCCAGGTGCAGGATATAATCCCCTGGTGTGCCATTTGCTCAGACCATTGGAGAAGCGCAGTATTAGGGTGGGAGCTACCCGATTTTCCAGGTGCCGTCTGTCACAGCTTTGCTTGGCTAGGAAAAGGAATTTCCTGACCCCTTGTGCTTCTTGGGTGAGGCGATGCCTTGCCCTGCTTCAGCTTATGCTCGGTGCACTGCACCCACTGTTCTGCACCCACTGTCCGACAAGCCCCAGTGAGATGACCCTGGTACCTCAGTTGGATATGCAGAAATCACCCATCTTCTGCATGGCTCACGCTGGGAGCTATAGACTGGAGCTGTTCCTATTTGGCCATCTTGGAACTGCTCCCCAGTGTTGTGTAGGTTTTTGTAAAGAGATTGTTCATTTCCTTGCTTAAATTTATTCCTGTTTTTCTGGGGGGTTTTTGTCGCTATCATAAATGGGACTGCTTTTAAATTTCTTTCTTAGCTACTTCATTACTAATGTGTAGACATTATATTGATTTTTGCATGTTGATTTTGCATCTTGCCACTTTACTGAATTTATTTATTGGATCTAATTGTTTTTTGGTGGCATCTTTAGATTTTTTTAGACATAGGATTATACCATTGGCAGGAAGGCAAGAGAGGCTGAAGGTTAAGCTGATGGCCATGATGTAATGAATCATGCCTAAGAAATATGGCTTCCATCAAAACCCAAAAGGGAAGAGTCAGAGAGCTTCTGTATGGCTGAACACAGGGAGGCTTATAGGAAGGTGAACAATAACTCAGACATGTGCCAGGGAGGGTAGCACTTCCCAAACACATGGGGCAGAAGCTCCTGCACTCAAGACCCTTTCAGACCTCACCCTATGTATCTCTTCATGTGGCTCTTATCTCTTCATGTGGCTCTTTATCCTTTAAAATATCCTTTTAAATAAACTGGTTAATGTATGTAAGTGTTTCCTGGCATGCTATGAGCCATTCTAGCAAATCAATCAAACCTGAGGGTGGGTTTTGGGAACCCTGATTTATAGTCAGTGAGTTAGCAACACAGGCAAAATAATCTGGGGCTTGAGATTGTCATCAGAAGTGAGAGGGTGACAGTCGTGAGGACTGAGCCATCAACTTGCGGGATCTAAAATTATCTCCAGGGAGATAGTGTCAGAATTGAGTTAGAGGATACCCAGCTGGCGTCCATAACAGAACCAATTGTTTGCTTGTTTTTGGGGAGAAATCCCCTACATTTCATCGCAGAAGCCTTCTGTGTTGATAGTTGTTGGGGTGTAAGAACAGTAGAAAAAAGACTTTGAATTTTCCCACAAAATTTTGCCACAAAAATGTGGTTAAAAGATTTTTTAAAAACTGGCACATTTGTCTAGAGCACTTACCATGAATGGAGCTTACAGGACTGGAAATTGCTCTGGGTGTCAGTGAGTGGCGAGTGAATGTGAAGTCTAGGGCATTACTATACACTACTTAGACTTTATAAACACTGTACATTTAGGCTACACTAAATTAATTTTAAAAATCATTTTCTTTCTTTAATAATAAATTAATCTTAGCTTACTGTAACTTTTTAATCTTTTTTTCTCCACCCTTTTTTTAAGTTCAGGGGTACATGTACAGAATGTGCAGGTTTGTTACGTAGGTAAATGTGTGCCATGGTGGTTTGCTGCAGAGATCGTCCCATCACCTAGGTATTAAGGCCAACATCCATTGGCTATTCTTCCTGGTGCTTCCCTCCCCCAGCCCCATGCCCTCTAACAGACCCCAGTGTGTGTTGTTCTCCCCCATGTATCCATGTGTTGTCATCATTCAGCTCCCACTTATAAGTGAGAACACATGGTGTTTTGTTTTCTGTTCCTGGGTCAGTTTGCTGAGGATAATGGCTTCCCACTCCATTCATGTCCCTGCAAAGGACATGGTCTTATTCCTTTATGTGGCTGCATCGCATTCCATGTTGTATATGTACCACATTTTCTTTATCCAGTCTATCATTGATGGGCATTTATGTTGATTCCATGTCTTTGCTATTGTGAATAGTGCTGCAATGAACATATGCGTGTATATATCTTTATAATAGAATGATTTATATTCCTTTGGGTATGTATCCAGTAATGAGATTGCTAGGTCAATTTCTGCCTCTAGGTTTTTGAGGAATCACCACACTGTCTTCCACAATGGTTGAACGAATTTACATTTCCACCAACAGTGTGAAAGCATTGCTTTTTCTCTGTGACTTCACCAGCATCTCTTGTTTTTTGACTTATTAATAGCCACTCTGGTATCTCATTGTGGTTTTTATTTGCATTTCTCTAATTATCAGTGATGTTCAACTTTTCTCATATGTTTGTTGGCTGCATGTATGTCTTTTTTTGAGAGGTGTCTGCTCATGTCCTTTGCCTACTTTTTAATGGGGTTGTTTGTTTTTTTCTTGTAAATTTGCTGAAGCTCCTTGTAAACTCTGGATATTAGACCTTTGTCAGATGTATAGATTGCAAAAATCTTCTCCTATTCTGCAGGTTGTCTATTCACTCTGCTGATAGTTTCCTTTGCTGTGCAGAAGCTCTTTAGTTTAATTAATTCCATTAGTCAATTTTTGCTTTTGTTGCAATTGCTTTTGGAGTCTTCATCATGAAATCTTTGCCCATGCCTATGTTCTGAAGAGTATTGCATAGATTTTCTTCTAGCGTTTTTATAGTTTTGGGTTTTACATTTAAGTCTTTAATCCATCTTGAATTAATTTTTGTATATAGTTTAAGGAACGGGCCTAGTTTCAATTTTCTGCATATGGCAAGCCAGTTCTCCCAGCACCATTTATTAAATAGGGAATTCTTTCCCCATTACTTGTTTTGGTCAGACTTGTCAAAGATCAGATGGTTGTAGGTGTGTGATCTTATTTCACAGTTCTTTATTCTGTTCCATTGGTCTATGTATCTGTTTTTGTATCAGTACCATGCTGTTTTAGTATTGTAACCTTGTAGTATAGTTTGAAGTCAGGTAATGTGATGCCTCCAGTTTTGTTCTTTTTGCTTAGAATTGTCTTGGCTATTCAGGCTCTTTTTTTGGTTCCATATGAATTTAAAAATAGTTTTGTTTTTTTTTTCAGGCTAGGCGCAGTGGCCCACGCCTATAATCCCAGCACTTTGGGAGGCTGAGGTGGACAGATCATGAGGTCAGGAGTTCAAGACTAGCCTGGCCAACATTGTGAAACCCCATCTCTACTAAAAATACAAAAATTAGCTGGGCGTGGTGGTGCGCATTTGCAATCCCAGCTACTTGGGAGGTTGAGGCAGGAGAATCGCTTGAACCTGGGGACGCGGAGGTTGCAGTGAGCCGAGATCACGCCACTGCACTCCAGCCTGGGTGACAGAGCAAGACTCTATCTTAAAAAAAAAAATAGTGTTTTTTTTTCTTCTAATTCTGTGAAGAATGTCTATGATAGTTTAATGGGAATAGCATCACATCTACAAATTACTTTGGGCAGTATGGCCATTTTCATGATATGGATTCTTCCTATCCATGAACATGGAATGTTATCCTATTTGTTTGTATCCTCTCTGATTTTTCTTTGAGCAGTGGTTTGTAGTTCTCCTTGAAGAGGTCCTTCACTTCCCTTGTTAGCTGTATTCCTAGGTATTTCATTCTTTCTGTAGGAATTGTGAATGGGAGTTGATGATTTGGCTCTCTGCTTGCCTGTTGTTGGTATATAGGAATGCTAGCGATTTTTGCACATTCTGTATCCTGAGACGTTGCTGAAGTTCCTTATCAGCTTAAGAAACTGCTGTTCTCATGATGGTGAAACTAATATAAGTGGTGAGAGGCTTGTCTGGTGCCGGTTTTCAAGGGGAATGTTTCCAGCTTTTGCCCATTCAGTATGATATTGGCTGTGGGTTTGTCATATATTGCCCTTATTATTTTGAGATCTCTTCCTTCAACACCTAGTTTATTAAGAGTTTTTAACATGAAAGTATATTGAATTTTATCAAGTGCCTTTTCTGCATCTATTGAGATAATCATGTGGTTTTTTTCTTTAGTTCTGTTTATGTTATGAATCGCATTTATTGATTTGTGTATGTTGAACCAACCTTGCATCCTGGGGATGAAGCCAACTTGATTGTGATGAATAAGCTTTTTGATGTGCTGCTGGATTCGGTTTGCCAGAATTTTATTGAGGATTGTTGCATTGATGTTCATCATGCATGGCCCGAAGTTTTCTTTTTTTGTTATATCTCTGCCAAGTTTTGGTATCAGGATGATGCTGGCCTTTTAAAATGAGTTAGGGAAGAGTCCCCCCTTTTCAATTGTTTGGAATAGTTTTAGTGAAAATGGTACCAGCTCTCCTTTGTACTTTTGATAGAATTCAGCTATCAATCTGTCTGGTCCTCGGCTTTTTTTGGTTGGTAGGCTATTTATTGCCTCAACTTCAGAACTCATTACTGGCCTGCTAAGAGTTTCAATTTCTTCCTGGTTCAGTCTTGGGAGGGTGTATGTGGGCAGGAATTTATCAACTTCTTCTAGATTTTCTAGTTTATTTGCATAGAGGTGTTCGTAGTATTCTCTGATTGTTGTTTGTATTTCTGTGGGGCCAGTGGTAATATCACCCTTGTTATTTCTGATTTGTTTATTTGATTCTTCTCTCTCTTCTTCTCTATTAGTCTAGATAGTGTTCTATTTTATTAATTCTTTCAAAAAAACAGCTCCTAGATTCATTAACGTTTTGAAGGGTTTTGTGTGTCTCTCTCTCCTTCAGTTCAGCTCCGATCTTGGTTATTTCTTGTCTTCTGCTAGCTTTGGGATTTGTTTTTGTTTCTCTAGTTCTTTTAGTTGTGATACTAGATTGTTAACTTGAGATTTTTCTGGTGTTTTGATATAGGCATTTAGTGCTATAAATTTCCCTCTTTACACTGCTGTAGCTGTGTCCCAAAGATTCTGATACATTGTCTCTTCATTCTCATTAGCTTCAAATAACTTATTGATTTCTGCCTTAATTTAATAATTTACCCAACAGTCATTCAGGAGCAGGTTGTTCAATTTCCATGTAGTTGTATGGTTTTGAGCGAATTTCTTACTTTTGGTTTCTAATTTGATTGTGCTGTGGTCTGAGAGACTGTTTATTATGATTTCAGTTCTTTTTGCATTTGCTGAGGAGTGTTTTACTTTTGATTATGTGACCAATTTTAGAGTAGGTGCTGTGTAGCAATGAGAAGAATGTATATTCTGTTGTTTTTGGGTGGAAAGCTCTGTAGGTGTCTATCAGATCCACTTGATCCAAAGCTGAGTTCAAGTCTTGAACTTTTTCATATTTATAAACCTTAATTTTTTAAAAAATTCAACTATTTTGTAATAGCACTTAGCTTAAAACACCAGCACATTATTCAGCTATACAAAAATATTTTTCCTTATATTCTCATTCTAGAAACTATTTCTACTTAATTTTTTAACCTTTTAATCTTTTTTGGTAAAAACAAAGACATACATTAGCCTAGGCTGACACAGGGTCAGGATCAACAATATCACCAACTTCAGCCTTCACATCTTGTCCCACTGTTATTTCACAGGTAATAACAAGCATGGAACTGTCATCTCCTGTGATAACAATGCCTTCTTCTGGAATACCTCCTAAAGGACCTGCCTGACGCTGTTTTAATTTAACTTAAAAAATAATTAGAGCACACTCTAAAATCACCATAAAAAGTATAGTAAATACATAAACCAGTAACATATTTATTATCATCAAGTATTACATGCTGTTTTTAACTGTATGGGGTAGACTTTTATAGGATTGGCAGTGCAGTAGGTTTATTTACATCAGCATCACCACAAGCACATGATTAATGCATTGTGTTATGACATTACAATGGCTACAATGTCACTAGGTGATAGGAATTTTTCAGCTCCGTTTAATAGGATGACAGTCGTATACGTGATCAATCATTGACAGAAACATCATTAAGCAGTGCATGACTGTATAACACAGTGATGTGTGTGTGTGTGTGTGTGTATTTTGTGTGTATAAGGTTGTTAAAGATGAAATTGAGGTTTCAACTGGGCACTAAGATATAACATATTAACTTTGCCTGTGAATTGTCAAATTACCCTATTCAGATTTTCAAATGCAATGACTATTGAAGGATTAGAGGTCTTCTGACTTGAACTGTGATAGACTAGCTCATTTAAAACTCATCCTCCCACTGTAAACAAGTATAAAAGCCAGACAAAACACGATGCAGTTGTGCAGCTGCAAAACAGCAGCCAGAGCAGGACTATCACCCTCCAGGGAATGGAGTCCCTGAAAGAGAGACTCACATCCTCATCAGCTTTCTTTCTAAGAGGATTTTTTTCAAAATTCAATGAAGGGAAATGGAACCCAAGCAGAGAGAATCAATCTCAGTAGCAAAGGAATCAGAGATCAGAGTTCAGGCTTGGCACTTTGACTGGGATTTAAGGGTAGGGTGCTGAAGGAGGGAGCTACAGCGAAGAAACTCCCAAAATCTGCACTCCAAAGCTGCATATGCTCCAGGTGATACTGTAAGAAGCCCACCAGAGAACAGCTGCTTGGGGATTGCATGCTATGTAGAAATGCCAAAGGCTTCATAGTGTGAGGAGATATTGGAATTAATTTAGCCCAGCCAAACCCGGGTTGAGACATGAGGATGGTGAAGCACTATGAGTGAGGGCCGTGGCCTTGGAGTAAGTACCACACTGAAATAGCAAAGTAGCAAAGTCTAAAATCAAGCCTTGGGAAAGGATTCCCTATTTAATAAATGGTGCTGAGAAAACTGGCTAGCCATATGTAGAAAGCTGAAACTGGATCCTTTCCTTACACCTTATACAAAAATCAATTCAAGATGGATTAAAGACTTAAACGTTAGACCTAAAACCATAAAAACCCTAGAAGAAAACCTAGGCATTACATTCAGGACATAGGCATGGGCAAGGACTTCATGTCTAAAACACCAAAAGCAATGGCAACAAAAGCCAAAATTGACAAATGGGATCTAATTAAACTAAAGAGCTTCTGCACAGCAAAAGAAACTACCATCAGAGTGAGCAGGCAACCTACAACATGGGAGAAAATTTTCACAACCTACTCATCTGACAAAGGGCTAATATCCAGAATCTACAAAGAACTTAAACAAATTTACAAGAAAAAAAAAACCACCCCATCAAAAAGTGGGCGAAGGACATGAACAGACATTTCTCAAAAGAAGACATTTATGCAGCCAAAAAACACATGAAAAAATGCTCACCATCACTGGCCATCAGAGAAATGCAAATCAAAACCACTATGAGATATCATCTCACACCAGTTAGAATGGCAATCATTAAAAAGTCAGGAAACAACAGGTGCTGGAGAGGATGTGGAGAAATAGGAACACTTTTATGCTGTTGGTGGGACTGTAAACTAGTTCAACCATTGTGGAAGTCAGTGTAGCAATTCCTCAGGGATCTAGAACTAGAAATACCATTTGACCCAGCCATCCCATTACTGGGTATATACCCAAAGGGCTATAAATCATGCTGCTATATAGACACATGTACACGTATGTTTATTGCAGCACTATTCACAATAGCAAAGTCTTGGAACCAACCCAAATGCCCAACAATGATAGACTGGATTAAGAAAATGTGGCACATATACACCATGGAATACTATGCAGCCATAAAAAGTGATGAGTTCATGTCCTTTGTAGGGACATGGATGAAATTGGAAATCATCATTCTCAGTAAACTAACGCAAGAACAAAAAACCAAACACCGCATATTCTCACTCATAGGTGGGAATTGAACAATGAGAACACATGGACACAGGAAGTGGAACATCACACTCTGGGGATTGTTGTGGGGTGGGGGGAGGGGGGAGGGATAGCATTGGGAGATATACCTAATGCTAGATGACGAGTTAGTGGGTGCAGCACACCAGCATGGCACATGTATACCTATGTAACTAACCTGCACATTGTGCACATGTACCCTAAAACTTAAAGTATAACAAAAAAATAAATAAAATAAAATAAAATAAAATAAAATCAAGCCTAAGCAGAATCAAAGTGGGTCCGATTTTTACCAAAGGTAATTCTTTTATAATTAATGAACTATCAAATTGTTAGCAGTCTGTGGAGGAAGATGGCAAAATCCAGAGCCTCTATAACACATCATCCAGAATATGTGGCATGCCAAGCAGCAGAGAAAATGCAACAAGTAGAGATAAAATCAGACTAAGTATTCCATGGTGTATATGTACCACATTTTCTTAATCCAGTCTATCATACTATGCAGCCATAAAAAATGATGAGTTCATGTCCTTTGTAGGGACATGGATGAAACTGGAAACCATCATTCTCAGCAAACTATCGCAAGGAGAAAAAACCAAACACCTCGTGTTCTCACTCATAGGTGGGAATTGAACAATGAGAACACGTGGACACAGGAAGGGGAACATCACACACCGGGGACTGTTGTGGGGTGGGGGAAGTGGGGAGGGATAGCATTAGGAGATATACCTAATGTTAAATGACGAGTTAATGGGTGCAGCACACCAACATGGCACATGCATACATATGTAACTAACTTGCATGTTGTGCACATGTACGCTAAAACTTAAAGTATAATAAAAAAAATCAGGCTAAGAGTTGATGTGGATATTGAAGCAGGCAAGCAAGAACATTCTCAAAGTATTTATGATTAATATGTTAAGGAAAATAGAGGGAAAGATGGGCAAACTATTTCAAAATCCCCAGAAAGATCAATCATAAAAAGAGAGAAAACAGAAATGAACACTATAAAGAACAACATAAAACCGTATATTTTATTAAAATGAAAATAAGAGAATATTAGACACAACTTCCTGACAATACCTTTTAAAATTTAGGTGCAATGAAATGAGTTCTTGAAAACGACAATTGAACAAGCCAACAGAAAACTGAATAGAAAATATAAGTAGTCCTATATCCATTAAGAAATGGGATTCTAATTAAATTCTTTCCCACCAAAAACACTCTTTGCCCACGTTTTTTCCCCTGTCAATTCTTCCAAAACTTTTTTTAAAAAAGTCAGTCTTATTCAGTCATCTCTTGGTATCCTTTTGGGATGGGATCTAGGGCCCCCTGTGGATACCAAAATCTATGAATGCTCAGGTCCCATGTATAAAATGGTCTAGTATTTGCTTATTACCTATGCACATCCTCCCATATACTTTAAATCACCTATAGATTACTAATACCTAATTCAATGTAAATTATTCGCAAATAGTTGTTATACTATATTGTTTAGGAAATAATGATAAGAAAAAGTCTATATATCTTCAGTACAGATGTAACCGCTGTAGGTAGGCCTAACTACATAGTATACATCAGCAGCAACAACAGTTTCGATCCTCAGGTAGTTAAATTCACAGATGTGAAACACACAGACATGGAGGGCAGACTATCATATATTCTTTTAGATAATAAAAAAAGAGTAAACACCTTCCAACTAATTTTATGAGACAACATAGCCCAGAGAAGAACTTAAACATGACAATGACATTACAAAAAAGATATCCACCATCTGAATGAACTGATGAACACAGCCACCAAAATTCCATCTAAAATATTAGAAAATAGAAGCAAGTAATATATGGAGAGGATAATGTACAATGGGACTGAATGGGATTTATAAGAGAAATGTGACTTTAAAAAATCAGAGTAATTTACCACATGAATAGAAAAAGGTAGAAAAACGTGCAGTTATGTCAACAGATGCATGAGAATCATTTGATAAAATTCAACAACTATTCATTATAAAAACTCAATAAACCAGAAATAAAAGAGAACTTCCTTAAGCTAATAAAGTTATTTATAAAAAAGAAATACCTCTATCTAAAGTCAAAATTAATGAGAAAAATATTGAAAACTACTCCTCTGTGTTGGGGACAAAATAAGGATATCCAATATCATTCCTTTTTTTTTTTTTTTTTTTGAGATGGAGACTTGCTTTGTCACCCAGGCTGGACTGCAGTGGTGCGATCTCGGCTCACTGAAAACTCCGCCTCCCAGGTTCAGGAGAATCGCCTGCCTCAGCCTCCTGAGTAGCTGGGATTACAGACATGTGCCACCATGCCCAGCTAATTTTTGTCGTTTTAGTAGAGATGGGGTTTCACCATGTTGATCAGGCTGGTCTTGAACTCCTGACCTCATGATCTGCCCGCCTTGGCCTCCCGAAGTGCTGGGATTACAGGCGTGAGCCACCGTGCCCGGCCACTTTTTTAAAAAATTATTTTTTATTTCAAGGTTTTTAGGGGTGGGTGGTGTTTGGTTACCTGAATTAATTCTTTAGTGGTGATTTCTGAGATTTTGGTGCACCCAGCAGTCAGGAAGGATTGAGCAACAGGGTGGGGAATATCCATCTCCCCACCTCCCTACCCCGATCAGCCTGAACTGATGGCAGAAACTGACTGCTGATGCTTGCTTTACTCACCCACATTCCCCATTCACTTATTCTTCATCAATTTGGTTCACATGTTCCCAGCAGTCGCTTCACCCCAGAAGCAGTCTGACTCCTATTCTTCAATACCAGGGAAACTCAAAGCCCTCTCTGCCCCCATCTCTGATATTACACTTCAGCTCAACATCATCACATGAAGGATCCAACTCTTCAGGGCAGATGTTCCCCCAGAGTCAGCCCCTGAATTTTGGCCCCAGATGTGCACCCCCACCCCCAACCTTTCCTTTTCTGTTTTGCTGTGAATCTGTCAATCACTGGGAACTGGCAGGGAGAGGTAGGAAGAGGGAGAGATTTCTTCATGCTGTGTCAAGGCATTGAGACAGACCTCTCCTTTTCCCCTGAACCTTGTATTCTACTCTTCCCAGATGCATGAAATAAAGCACAGGCCAGAAATGTCTATTTAAAGAGTAAAAATCCACAGTATAAAATTATGCAGACATAGTAGACATGGGGTAATTTATAACAGTGTGCGAAGGGTGAGGGGACCTCAAGGTGCCAAAAAGGCTGGTCCCAGGCTTGCCAGGAGGAACCGTCAACAGGACACACACTCATAAAGCTTTTATGCACATACAATGTGTTTAAAGGCACATATGTGCTTTTGTGCATGTAATTACTGCACATACAATACATTAAAAGATAATAAAAGTTAATAAGATAATAACAAAACAACAAAAATAATAATACCGAATATTATGGCACAGCTGCAAACACCTCATAGCAACTAACAGTTGTCAATCCCTGACCACAAGAAATAAGTGCTGTTAGTTTCCCATTTAATATATGAGGAAACTGAGGCATCAAGAGGGAAAGTGCTGGTGAGACCTGGGTAGGGAGTTGAATCCAGTGGAGCCAGCAGACCCAGGAGCTGGCACCAGAGACTGAAATTCCAGCTGTATGGTGCCCTGGTGGTCTCCTGTCCCAACCAGGTGTTGATCTGGGCTTCGTAGGCTCATGTGCTCTGGAGAAAAGAGAGAAACAGTAAATGCTCCACTGGGTGCAGAGTGCTGCTTTTCATTCCCTGAGGATTTCTCCCTCCTCAGAAACTCCGAAATCAGATTCACCCTTTCTCTGAGGGAAGAACTGACGCCCCCACTTTTTCCTCCCTCCCATCCTAGTTTCTCCAGCCTCCACCAGTCTCCTCCTGTGATTCCCTCAACAATGATACCTGCCCTGTGCCCACCATCCACCATGTGGGGAATGAAAGGGCCTCATGACTAAAGGACAAGAATCAGATCCAGGAGGGAACCCGGGGCCCTCCCCTCCTCCCAAGCCCCACCAGCCTAGACACAGTGGGAAACCTCCCCAAAGAGAGGATGGTCCTAGCTCCGTGTCCTACCAGGCCTGGGCTGGGTCACGCACGCGGTCCTTCTCCCTCTCAGTCCCCAGGCCCTCCTCACCTACAGAGGCACTTGCACAACAGGGCAGACCCTGCACACTGGGCTCCCCGCTCCACCTGCAGCTCAGCGTTCCACCCTCCGAGCCCTGAGCAGCCAGCCCCTAACTGCAGAGCCCATCAAGAAGCCTGGGGGCTCGGCACAAAAACACGTGGCTGCCACCGGGTCTGCACCTGACTGGATCCTGGGACCCTCCACGCTTGAGGACACCCAACCTTTCCAGACCCTCAGCACCCACCCGGGTCCGTGACCTGCACTTGGGCCATCCTTGCTCCTGCCTGGTCCACTCACCCCTGGAAATGCACCTCCACCCCAGGGCTGCTGCTTGCTGAGGCTGCAAGACCTTCCTGCCCTGTTCCTAGCAGGGCTTCCACCCAGGCCACTGCCCTCACAGCCCACAGGGAATCTTCTTCTTCTCCCTGTGGAGCAGGGGGTTTCTGGAGACCCCTCAGCCTGAGGCTGCCTCCACCCACCCTCTGCACTCCAGGATTGCCACTGCCACAACCACCATCTCCAACATGGACCCTCCTGGAGAGGAAGCTCCAAGCTTGACTTCTCATTTGATTGTACATGCTTTACAACATCAATATTAGAGGAAATCCTATTAAGATTATCCAGCGGAAATTGTGAACATCTTTATTGGACATCAATATTTAAAGGAGAATTTTTGAGAAATTAGCACATGACTTTCACACCCTTTCCCTGGCCAATGCCCCGTGACCTACAAGGCAAACTTTCCTGCCCACGGGGACCCAGAAGTGACAACCCCTCTATAGGAGACAGTGCAGGTGAAAGCAGGAGCGACCACAAACCTGCACTGCCCCTGCTGTGGGTGCCTCCTGGACGGGGCCCTCTTGCTGCAGGGCAGGGGATGAACCTTCCCATCTGCCCAGGACTGAGGGGCCAACAGACAGTGCAATTAGGTTCAAGGATGAAAAACCCCCACCCCCACCACCAGGTGCAAAAAAGTGGGGAAATGGCAGAAAGACTCCAGTTTCCTGGACACCCAGCCTCTCACTGTCCCCTGCACTGCCTCTGTCTTTGCAGAAACACAAAACTTCCTGTTTTCTCTTTTACTTTCCCCTCAAACAACTGACTGTGGGGGAAATCATCCTGACCATCCTTTACTCCAAATTTACAGGAAAGTGACCACCTTGAGAAAGGCTCAGGGAGGGCAAGGTGAGGCCACAGAGCACAGAACAAAGCCCAAAAAACATGGTCCCTGAGCACTGTGTCCCTGAGGGACTGTGTCCTTCAGGGCCTGGACAAGGAAACACCTAGAAGTAGGATGAAAACAGGGATGACAGCTGCCCTGACAAGGGGCTGGTCACCACTCCCCAAATGGCCCAGAGACATCTGCGTATCTTCTCATCCATATTATCTGCAAGGGAACTCAGGGTGCAGGGCCATGTGGTGGGAACCTGGAAAGAGCATGGCCTCGAGTGATCCAGGAGACACGACACCCCCGAGACAGCTCCTGGAGGAGGCGCGTGGGGAGCTACAAAGTGGACAAAGATGGCTGTGTGCACTCAGAACCCTCCCTGTTACAAGGGGGTCTCCAAGGGGCTGCACAGGCAGGCCCCCCAGTCTGGGCCTCATAGGTCTTTTTCTTGGTGTCCTCCTGATGGCTGGAGAAACAGGGGAGGGGGATGCAGAGAGGAAGGGACTAGAGGCACCACCTCTCCTCATATTCCTCTCCAGTTTCTAGCCCTCCCCAGATCACAGCCGTCTTTACTATTTGCCCCCTCTGAAGCCATCATCATCCAGGCCCTCAGCAATCAGCACATGATTCCCAGCTCACCCCACGCTGATGCACGCTGGTGAGCCTGAGAGACAGAGGGATGGGGATGAGGACAGAGCAGGTGCCACGGCCCTCCTTGCTGCCCACTCCTCACCTGCAGCAAGAGGAGGCCACAGATGGACATTCGAGGGCTTTGGCCTGGCCCTGGCTTGGGCAGGACTTAGGGGTCTAGATGAAATTGTAGCTCCTATTCCCCTCCCAAATACCCCAACTTCCAAACCCTGTTCCAAAGCCCTGTCACCTACATGCCTGTCTGTGCAGGAGCTATGAGGGGACCCTACTGCCCAGACAGGGTCCCTCCCATCTCCAGCCACTGCCCCCTTTTTTCACCTGGGTCCTCTGCAGCTGATATTTTCTTCTTGCACCAAAGGACACAGAGAATAATAATAATGATAACAAAAACAGCAGCAGCCGCAACATACGGAACGGTTGCCATAGACTCTGAAGCATCAGGGCTTTCCCTGAAAAAAAGGGCCTTGTTGCACACTGGGCACTCAGAGTTCCAGTTATCTCTGCTGTGCCCACCTTGGCCTGACCCTTTCTAGGTCAGAACACTTGAGGGTCGCCCCAGGCTCACCAGAGGACACCAGGGTAAGTGCTGTGATTCCTGCTGTGTCCCACATAGCAGGTAGCCCTCTGCTCCTCTTCTTGGGGAATCTTAGTGGCCACCCAGGTCTGGTAGGTCCCATTCCCATTGGGCAGGACACCCACAGACCGATGGGCATCCTGGCTCAGAAAATGCCCCAACCTGACACCAGGCCAGAGAGATATTCTGGGGATAGAAGCCGGAAGCCCAGCATGTGGGGGTGACTTTGTTCTCTGAGGCCTGGCATTCACCATGGTAGGCACTGGATAGGAAAGGGCAGAGCCAGTGAGGCACATGGCCAAGCCCCGCTCCCTCTAAGGGAGACTCAGGGAACAGGGCTGCTCCTCTCCAGTGTTCTCACTCTGGCTGAAGCCCTCATGGACCCCGGATCTTTTGCAAGTCTGTCCTTACCCTGGGGCCCAATTCCTTTGGGCTGGCAGGAGGATGGGCCTCAGACTATGGCCTCAGGCTCTGAGATCCCCACATTGATGCTGAAGGGGAGGGATGTCAGGATTGGACTCCTGGGTCATGAGGCCAGGAGGGAACTCTCTGGGATGGGCAGGCTGGGAGGCAGAGGGGGCAGCCCTAGCCCTGAGGGCTTCCTCTCCTGCCTAACACCCACCCCAGGGTGAGGATTCTGTTGGGAGTGGGCCATTGCTTTCCCAGATTACAACACTGGATGGTTCAGTCCCCAACCCACTGTCTTTATCCAGTGGCTCTAACAAGAGAGGAAAGTCAGGACACAATACGCCAACAGGAAACGCCTGCATCCATAGCACAGAGAGGGTTTCCCAGGACAGAGCTGGCAGGGGAGTGACTCTAGTGAAATGGGGGAGAGGAAAGCCCCTGCCCAGGGTCGGTACCTGTTCTCCTGATGCCCTCCTAGGATTCGAGATGTTACTGTAGTTTCTGCAGACGGTCTGCCATCACAGGGTGAAAGTGTCTTGGCCTGTGTGGCATCTTCATCCCAGAAATTTCTGATATTCATAGCTAAGGTCTGAGCTCTGGAGGACTGGGGCACTGTCCATTCCTGAGTCTCCAGGTTTTGGGAGAGGAAGAGCTCCCCATCATAGTAGAAATGCCGGGAGCCTCTGGTGCTGCTGTCTTCATGGATCTCACAGACCCTAATCTCCTGGAGGGAATGCAAGCCTGCCCCCACCCAGCAGTTCATTCCTGAACCCCTCATCTTCCCACCCAAGTGAGGAACTCAGCCCAGCTGGGACCCCTCCCTGGCCCTCCTCCATGTCTCCCTGTGTGGGCTGAGTGCCGGCTCACCTCCCTGCTGAGCCCCACTGACCCCTATTTCTCAGCCCACCCTCAGCCAGATCCAGTGGGAAGAGACAGGTCCCTGCTCTCTGCCTCCAACTCTCCTGGAGAAGGCCTCTGCCATTACTCTTGCCCCTGCCGACTCTCACCTCCTTTCTGGCCCTTGATATGAGTCAGGGTCCTCCTGAGGTCCTGCCCATTCTCTGTCAAGTCCTCGGTCTCTGTGTCCCAGGTCTCAGCTCCCAGGACTGCTTCTGCCAACTGTCCACAGGGCCCCTGCCCTGCCTTTCTGTCTGTCATAGAGCAGGAACGGCTGACCATCCAGATGTCCCTCAGCGAGAAACCCTGACTATACAAATCCATCCTGGGACAGCACCGTGAGGTTGTAATGAAGACTGTGGGACCTGGGGAAGAAGAAACCACAGATGAAACTTCTTCCTGGAAATAACTTCACATAGATATTTAACACACAGATCTGCTGCCCCGACCTTCCTGAGGAAGCAGAAGTGGCTAAGTGTTGACAGTTTTGTAGTAATTTACAAGTTGATATGGTTTGGCTGTGTCCCCACCCAAATCACATCTTCAGTTGTAACTCCCACAATTCCCACCTGTCATGGGAGGAACCTAGTGGGAGGTGATTGAATTTTTGGATGGGTCTTTCCTGCACTGTTCTTGTGATAGCGAATGAGTCTCATGAGATCTAATGGTTTTAAAAAAATGGGAGTTTTCCTGCACGAGCTCTCTCTTCTTGCCTGCTGCCATCCACACAAGATGTGACTTGCTCCTCCTTGCCTTCCACCGTGATTGTGAGGCCTCCCCAGCCATGTGGAACCATTAAGTCCGTTAAACCTCTTTCTTTTGTAAATTGCCCAGTCTCAGGTATGTCTTTACCAGCAGTGTGAAAACATACTAATACACAAGTGAAACACATTATACATTTTAATCCATTAAAGACTAGTTAGCAGCACTCACCACAAGCTGATATAAGAGCCTGTGAGCCTTAAGGGAACATTCACTGGTAATGGTCTGCAAACAGGGGTAGTCTGACTTCCCCTATGCCCTTATTTCTTTCTCTTGCCTTATTGCTGTGGCCAGGACTTCCAATACTCTGTTGAATAGGAGTGGTGAGAGAAGGCATCTTTGTCTTGTGCTGGGTTTCAAGGGGAATGCTTCCCCCATTTGGTATGATGTTGGCTGTTTGTTTGTCATAGATGGCTCTTATTATTTTGAGGTATGTTCCTGCAATACCTAGTTTATTGAGCGTTTTTAACATAAAGGAATGTTGAATTTTATCAAAAGGTTTTTCTGGATCTATTAAGATAATCATGTGGTTTCTGTCTTTAGTTCTATGTATGTGATGAATCACATTTATTGATTTGCACGTGTTGAACCAATCTTGCATCCTGGATATGAAGCCTACTTGATCATTGAGATTAGCTTTTTGATGGACTGCTGGATTTGGTTTGCAAGTACCTTGTTGAGGATTATTACATCAATGTTCATCAAACATATTGACCTGAAGTTTTCTTTTTTTGTTTTGTCTCTGCCAGGTTTTGGTATCAGGATGATGCTGGCCTCATAGAATGAGTTGGGGAGGAGTTCCTCCTTTACAATTTTTTGGAATAGTTTCAGTAGGAATGGTACCAGCTCTTCTTCGTCCATCTGGTAGAATTCAGCTGTGAATCCATCAGGTTCAGGGCTTTTTTTGGTTAGTAGGCTATTTATTACAGATTTAATTTTGGAGCTCATTATTGGTCCTTTCAAGGAATCAATTTCTTCCTGGGAGGGTGTATGTTTCCAAGAATTTATCGATCTCTTGTAGGTTTTCTAGTTTGTGTGCATACAGGTGTTCATAGTAGCTTTTGATGGTTATTTTTACTTCTGCAGAGTCAGTGGTAACATCTGTTTTGTCATTTCTAATTATGCTTATTGGGATCGCCTCTCTTTTCTTCCTTATTAGTCTAGCTATCAGCCTATCTATCCTATTAACTTTTTCAAAAATCATCTCCTGAATTTGTTGATCTATTGAATTTTTTTGTGTCTTGATTTCCTTCAGAACTTAACTCATTCTTAACATTTCACAGCCCACTTTCAGTTAATAATGTACTAGTTCACATAAATATAGAAATCTTGCAACCATTTATCCTCTATAAAACGTCCATCTTTTATGCCATAGATATTATATGTAATATATTTACATAGGTTATAAGCCCCATCAGAAAGCTATCTTATTTTACCTTTAAACAGTTCTATGTATATGAAGTAAGATTAAATGGGGGTGGGGGAGCAAGATAGCCTTTCGCACTTAATATTTACCACTTCTCACATTCTTCATCTTTTCTGATAATCTCATTTTCCACCTGGTATCATTTGCTTTTAGCCTGAGACACTTTCTTTACCAATTTTTATCGTACAGATCTGCTGGTGACAAATTCTCTTAATTATCTTTTACCTGAAATATCTCCTTATTTTGCATTTATCTTGAAGGACATCTGTACTGGATATAGAATTCTTAGTTGACCTTTTATTTCTTCCAGAACTTTAAAGATGTTATTCTAGTTTATTTTGTTTCTCTGGTTTCTGATGAGAAATCATTGGTCAGGAAAAGAGAAACAGAGAAAGAAAAACTGAGCAAATAACATGACAAACCTAAAACCTATCATATCAATAATGACAAAAACCTACATAAATCAGCACTCCAATTAAGGGCAGAGATTCTGTGACTGGATTAAAAAAAATAACCCAACCATATGCTCTTTTCAAGACATGAACTTTATTTTTTTTAATTTAACTTTTATTTTTAGTTCAGGGTACATGTGCAGGTTTTTGTATAGGTAAATTTGTATCATGAGAGTTTGTCATATGTAGGCTCCAGCCCTACAGGACCTGTGGGTTTTTCTCTTTGTGTGTGGAGATGAGAGAGTGTAGAAATAAAGACACAAGACAAAGAGAAGAAAAGAGAGTTGGGCCCAGGGGACCACTACCACCAAGGCACGGAGACTGATAGTGGCCTCGAATGCCAGGCTGCGCTGTTATTTATTGGATACAAGACAAGGGGGCAGGGTAAGGAGTGTGAGCCATCTCCAATGATAGGTAAGGTCACGTGAGTCACGTGTCCACCAGACAGGGGGCCCTTCCCTGTTCGGTAGCCGAGGCGGAGAGAGAGAGGGGACAGTTTATGTCATTATTTCTTCTATGTATTTCAAAGACTTTAGTACTTTCACTAATTTTTGCTACTGCTATTTAGAAGGCTGAGCCAGGTGTAGAGGGTGGAACATGAGAGTCAAACAGGAGCGTGACCACTGAAGCACAGCATCACAGGGAGACGTTTAGTCCTCCAGATGGCTGTGGGCGGGCTTGACTGATGTCGGGCCTTCCACAAGAGGTGGTGGAGCAGAGGCTTCTCTAACTCCCCCGGGCAAAGGGAGACTCCCTTTCCCGATCTGCTGAGTGATGGGTGCCTTCTCAGGCACTGGCGTTACCGCCAGACCAAGGAGCCCTCTAGTGGCCCTGTCCAGGCATGACAGAGGGCTCACACTCTTGTCTTCTGTTCACTTCTCACCGTGTCCCTTCAGCTCCTATCTCTGTATGGCCTGGTTTTTTCTAGGTTATAATTGTAGAACAAAGATTATTATAATATTGGAATAAAGAGTAATGTCATAAACTAATGATTAGTAATATTTATACATAACCATATCTATATTTTATGTCTAATACAACTATTTTTATTTTAAGTATTTTCTTTATTATACTGGAAGAGCTTGTGCCTTCAGTCTCTTGCCTCGGCACCTGGGTGGCTTGCTGCCCACAGTCATATAGTTTCTGTACCTATTAGTACCCACCCAGGTATTAAGCCTAGCACCCATTCATTATTTTTCTTGATCCTCTCCCTCCTTCCACCCGTTGCCTTCAAGTAGGCCCCGGTGTGTGTTGTTCCCTTCTATATGTCCATATGTTCTCATCATTTAGCTCCCACTCATAAGTGAGAACATGTGGCAATTGGTTTTCTTTTTCTGCATTAGTTAGCAAAGGATAATGGCCTCTAGCTCCATCCATGTTCCTGCAAAGTACATGATCTCGTTCTTTTTTATGGCTGCATAATGTTCCATGGTGCATATGTGCCACATTTTCTTTATCCAGTTCACCATTGATGGGCATTTAGGTTGATTCCATGTCTTTTCTATTGTGACAAGTGCTGCAATGAACATACATCTGCATGCAAAACATGCAATTTCAATATGAAGGCACAGATAAATAAAAATTGATGAAAAAAGCAATGCCATACAAACATTAAGCACAGAGGATTGAAATGGTTATTTTACTACCAGTAAAAGATTTTCAAATAATATGTATTACCAGAGAGAAAAAGAGGCGCTTCATAATAACAAAAGGGTAAAATCAACAGAAAGACATGCAACCAGAAATGGATCCAATAGCAAATCTTTAGAGTTCATGAAGAAAAATTGACAAAATTACAGAGAGAAGTAGAGAATTCTACAAACATGGTTAGACATTTTAAAGCTTTCTTTCAGCTATAAATACAAAAACTAAGAAAAATTTAGCAAAGACATAGAAAATTGAAAAGCATTATCAAGCACCCAGACTTAATTTATTTATATGCATATGCACATCAATGAAAAACACAAATTATCTGAAGTATGAATGATACATTTACCAGGAGAAACCATATTTCAGGCCATAAAACAATAAATTTGAAAACATTGAAATCATACAGAATATATTTTCTGGCCATAATGGAAATACATTAGAAATCTGTAACAATAAGATGATCTTGTGGGACTGAATGCTTTTGTCATCCTTAAACTCATAATTGAAACCTAATCTCTAATGTGATGGTGTTTGGAGGTTGTGCCATTAGAAAGTGATCATGCAGTGAAGGCAAAACCCTCATTAATAAAATGAATGCCCTTATAAAAGGGACCCCAGATTGCTTGCTCCTTCCACCACGTGGGGACACCAAGAAAAGGCAACATCCATGAATCAGGAAGCAGCCCTCACCATACACTGACTCTTCCCAGGCCTTGATCTTTGACTTCCCAGCCTCCGGAACTGTGAGAAATAGATTTCTGTTGTATGCAAGCCACATAGACTATGGAATTCTTTTATAACTGCCCAGATTGACTAAGACGGACGATCATGAAAATACCAAGGATTGGAAATTAAACATCAAAATTCTGAATAACAACTTATTCAAAGAGGAAATCACAGGAGAAATTAGAAAGTCTTCTGTTTTCTGAAGAATACTGAAGCACAACATATCAAATGTATGGGATGCAGTTGAAGTAGTGTTAGATATAAAAAGAGTTCCTCTTTAAGGGTTAACTTGCTCAGCATCCTGGCTCTTTGTTCCCTGCTTTCAAGGCCAGACTTCCTTACGCTCTGTATCCCCTGCCCTGGTAAACAAATTTCCCGCCAGTCCTTATCTATGGAGACCACATCCCACATCTGCTACCCACTCTATAGATTAACCCTCCTGTTGCAACAGCTCCTCCCGCCAAGACTGCACTCTCTGTTGGTATAACCACATTCCTGCACTTTTCAAGTTAGCCAGCCAGGTTCAGCTTAGATTGTGCAGTCCAGCTCCAGCCAATGGAGACAAGACACAGTTACAGGGACAAGCTGCATTAAGAGATTATAAAAAACCCCTGCTCTCCTTTGTTCAGGTGTGCACTCGCCATCGTTCCATCATAAGTAGCATCCTTTCTGCAGAAGTCAATTGCCTTGCTGAGAGATCCTTTGTCTCAGTGCTGATCTTTCTTTACAACACTGAGCATTTGTTCCCAACAAGCAGTACTGAAGAAAAAACTGATATCCTTAAATGCCTATATTAAGAAAGAAGGTAGGTCTCAAATTAGTAAATTAGTTTCTCCTGTAAGAAGCAAAGAAGAACAAATTAAACCAATGCATGCAGAAGGAAGGAAATAATAATAAAATAAAAAACTGAAGCAGAAAGAGAAAATTAATGAATCCAAATATTGGTTCTATAGGGAAAAATCGTACACCTTATAAATTTCTAGCCAGACTGATCAAGACAAAAACATACACATTAACAAGGTCAGCAATAAAAGAGAGAACATCAGTACACACTCTAGATCTCAAAAAGAAATATTGATAATCTCATGTCAATAAGTTTGACAAGCAAATGAAATGAACAATTTCCTTGAGAGGGAAAACTTATGAAAACTGACCTGAGAAGAGATAGAAAATGTGGTCAGCCATATATTGATTGTAGAAATTGAATTTGTAATCAAAATCCTTCTAATATAGGAAAGTCTAGGTCCAGAAGGCTTCACTGATGAATTGTATCAAACATATAATTTAGAAATTACATCAATTTTACACATACCTTTTAGAAATTAAAGTAGGCAGTTTTTTTCAATTCAGTCTACGAAGCCAGCTATATTAGTCCGTTTTCACACTGCTGATAAACACATACTCAAGACTGGGAAGAAAAAGAAGTTTAATTGGACTTACAATTCCACATGGCTCGATGGTCTCAGAATCATGGCAGGAGGTGAATTTTTTTTTTACGTAGCAGTGGCAAGAGAAAATGAGTAAGATACAAAAGCGGAAACCCCTGATAAAATCGTCAGGTCTTGTGAGCCTTATTCAATACCACAAGAACAGTATGGGGGAAACTGCCTCCATGATTCATATTATCTCCCACTGGGTCCCTCCTACAACATGTAAGAATTATGGGAGTATAATTCAAGATGAGATTTGGGTGGGGACACAGAGCCAAACCATATCATTCCACCCCTGGCCCCTCCAAATCTCATGTCCTCACATTTCAAAACCAATCATGCCTTCCCAACAATCCCCCAAAGTCTTTCCTCATTTCAGCATTAACCCAGAAATCCACAGTCCAAAGTCTCATCTGAGACAAGGCAAGTCCCTCCCACCTATTAACCTGTAAAATCAAAACCAAGCTAGTTACTTACGAGATACAATGGGGGTACAGGTATTGGGTAAATACAGCCATTCCAAATGGGAGAAATTGGCCAAAACAAAGGAGTTACAGGGCCCATGCAAGTCCTAAATCCAGTGGGGCAGTCAAATTCTAAAGCCCCAAGATGATCTCCTTTGACTCCATGTCTCACATCCAGGTCATGCTGATGCAAGAGGTAGGTCCCCATATCTTGGGCAGCTCTGCCCCTGTGGCTTTGCAGGGTATATGTTCCCTCCTGGCTGCTTTCACAGTCTGGCGCTGAGTGTCTGTGACTTTTCCAGATGCACAGTGCAAACTGTTGGTGGATCTACCATTTTGGGGTCTGGAACACGGTGGCCCTCTTCTTACAGCTCCACTAGGCAGTGCCCCAGTAGGGACTCTGTGTGGGGGCTCCAGCCCCACGTTTCCCTTCCACATTGCCCTAGCAGAGGTTCTCCATGAGGGCCCTGCCCCTGCAGCAAACTTTTGCCTGGGCATCCTAGCATTTCCATACATCTTCTGAAATCTAGGTGGAGGTTCCCAAACCTCCATTCTTGACTTCTGTGCACCTGCAGGCTCAAAACCACATGGAAGCTGTCAAGGCTTAAAGCTTGCACCCTCTGGAGCCATAGACCAAGCTGTACCTTGGCCCCTTTTAGCAACAGTGGGAGCATCTGGGATGCAGGGCACCAAGTCCCTAGGCTGTACATAGCATGGGGACCCTGGGCCCTGCCCATGAAACCATTTTTTCCTCCTATGCTTCTGGGTCTGTGATGAGAGGGGCTGCCATGAAGACCTATGGCATGCCCTGGAGACATTTTCCCCCTTGTCTTGGGGATCAACACTTGGCTTGTTGTTACTTATGCAAATTTCTGCAGCCAGCTTGAGTTTCTCCTCAAAAAATGGGTTTTTCTTTTCTACTGCATTGTCAGGCTGTAAATTTTCTGAACTTTTATGCTCTGTTTCCCTTTGAAAATGGAATGCTTTTAGGAGCACCCAAGTCACTCTTTGAATGCTTTGCTGCTTAGAAATTTTATCTGCCAGATACCCTACATCATTTTAAGGAAAGGCTAGCATGGGGAAGAAGAAGAGAGACGAGAAGAAAAGAGCTCCCTGCTTCTAGTGAGCAAAGGCCGCCGCCCGAGCTTCTTAGCCCTTCATATTTACTGGGTAATAAGGGCAAGGAGGAGGAGGTAATGATTGGTCAGCTGCTTAATTGATCACAGGTTCATATTGTTACTGGCAGGCTTCAATTGTGGCAAATCATAAGAAACATTCGTGCGGCCTCCAACATCTACTCCTTTTTGTTTTAAAATTAATTGAGCAAGGTAATTGCAGGCTGTGCAGCTCTTAATTGCCGGTTGGTGATCCAGCTTCATTTTTCTTAGCCCTTATTCAAAATAGAGTTGCTGTGGTTTGAATGCTTCTTACATATCTCCCCCTTCCCTTTTTACAAGAGGATGCTTAATCCTAAGGGTTGCAGAAGGATGAAGGTCTGTCTTCTGCAACTTCTTCATGCAGAATAAGGGCGATGGTATTCCTGCCTAACTATTAGGGTCTCTTGTATTCAGGGTAGAGAGGAGCTGAGTCAGAAAGCACTGGTCCGTTAAACATCGATTGTACTTCTGAGTTCCAGCAAAAGGTGACACCCTGGCACTCCAGCAGTTTCTCAGCTTCCTGTGTGGTTTTCTTGATCAGTCCCCATGTTATGGGGGTTGATGTCAGCATGACTCTGGTCAGTCGTCGTTCCATCTTCGCATTCAGATTCAACTGGCTCATGGATTGTACTGGGGGAACCAGGTCCAGGGTTGGGATCCATGGGTCCCTCCAGTCTCCCATTCCAAGATGCACCTTGGAAAAAGAGACAAAAATCACTAGCATCTGTGGCCCACGCTTTTTCCTAAAAGGGTTTTGAGGACTTCAGTACTTACAGGGGAAAGAGCAGGCAGAAGGGGAAAAACAGTCAACTATGCATTCATCTTGTGCTCAGTAAATCTGAATTTTACATAAGCTAAAGTAAACATAGAGTAGTAAAATATGTGTTTGTCTCCGGGTGGATGAAGGGATGATTTCTAGTCTTGTCTTTGTCCTGTACCTGTGAAGATAAGCTGTTACTTTACATTGTCAGGGGAAAAGTCAACAAAACTCTGTTTTAGGGTAAAGATGTTGGGGCCCACAAGGAATTACATTGTGAGCAGATTGTGAGGGAGGCCACTTGGGGAGATATGTGGTCCTCTATCTTTGCAGGTATTTGTTTAGGAACAAAAGAAAGGCAGTTTTTCCATGACTCAGTTCCCAAACTTAACTTTTCCCTTTGGCACTGTGAGTTTGGGGTCCCAAGATTTTATCTTTCTTTCACACTCAGTATTGCAGTTTATTATTGTCATAGCTTAAATCAGCGGTAATCATAGCTTACCTCAACATATTTGGCACCAAGTACTGGTTTCATGGAATAAAACTTTTCCACTGACCAGGGCAGGCGGCACAGGTAGGCGGGGATGGGTTTCGGGATGAAACTGTTCCACCTCAGATGATCAGGCACTGGAGTCTTATAAAGGAGCGTGCAGCCTAAATCCCTCGCATGCACAGTTTACAATAGGGTTCGTGCTCCCATGAGAATCTAATGCCACCACTGATCTGACCAGAGGCGGAGCTCAGGCGGTCATGCTCATGCTTTCTCGCCCACCCTTCACCTCCTGCTGTGCGGTCTGGTTCCCAACAGGCCACAAACCTGTACCGGTCCACTGCAGGGGAGTTAGGGACCCCTGGTTTAAATTATGCCACTATAACAGAACACCTGAGACTGGATAACTTACAATGAACACAAATTTAATTGGCTCATGGTTGTCGAGGATGGGAATTCCAAAATCAAGGGAATGTATCTGGCAGAAGGGAGAAGCGCAAGAGAGGGTGAGAGCTAGAGGGAGTAAGAGGTCGAACTCACAGGCTCAGGTCCTTTATGATCAGCATTAATGAGGGCAGCCTTGATCAGTTCATTAATGAAGGCAGAGCTCTGATGGTCCAATCACCTCTCAAAGGTCCCATCTCTTAACATTGTTGCACTGGGGATTAAGTTTCCAACAGACGCTTTTCTGGGGAAACATTCAAACAATAGCAGTTGTAAAGGATACAAATGAGCAGGCAGATGAAGTGCAGGAGGCGACATCTGGAAGCACTCTGAGCACACGACCCTCTGTCCCCATGGAGACGGGGTGCACCATCATTGTCAAGAGACAATATCATCTCTTGCTTATACCTCTTTTTTTTGGGAGTTCATGTAACATTGGATTTTCCTCATTACACAACCCATTTATTCATTCATTTACCCTCAGCTACTATTCCTCCTTCTACTTCATTTATACCAAACATTAACAGTTTTGGAAGAAACATTAAGTTCTGCTACTGTGCTGGCCTAGACTGAAGGGAGCAATACTGTTCTAGCAAGTGTCTCTCGTTGGTCCATTCCAGTTCATAGAGGGTAGGGTTATGCAGGTAGAGAACTAGTTGGCTATCTGACCCCAGGCAATATAGCTGCATTCAGTGTTAGCCCCAACTTTGCCAGATGCAGTGAAGGCACAACCTACTCCTCCAGGCCCTGAGGAATTCTTGCATAATGGTTTTAAAATATATTTACACTTTCTTGCTTAGGAATAATTCCTGTTTTGGCACTTTTATATGCATCCCTTGTCCTAAGACCACTGAATCAGGTATGAGAAAGGCGAGTTGAGGTGAAGTCTAGTCATCATTCCAGTGTCCTCTTGTCATGGGAAAAATCGTATGTCAGGTCATACTAGCACCTTTCCCTGATCCAGCAGGAAAAAAGAGGATACTCTCTAGTGGGGACACTCCTTTTTCCACACTCATGTCTGGTGTGAGCCCACTCATGAACGTGTGTAAGCCCGCCCTTCATGCTTATGTCTCCCCACTCCTGCTTTATACAAGTAATGTGTCATTTGACTATTTTTATTCTCTATGAAACTATTCCTCTGAGCAAAATATTTTTCTGAACATTGTTGGACATTTTGGGCAAATGTGTTTCCTGGTGTGAAGAAATGTGACTCAGTGATGCAAATGGTTGCAATATCTCCCGTCCAGGTTCTATTATAGTGCTCTAAGCATTTGCATCTGAGATGAAGTACGGATTTATCTTAGAAGCCTGCTAGACCTCCCTAACATGGAAATAAAGGAAAATGTTGAGTTCCTTCAAGAGAAATTCCAGGCACCTAGCCAGCCCTGAAAAGCAAGTGAGTGACCTTATAAGCAAGCAGGTAAAAATAGCTTAAACAATAGCCAAGGAAGTTAGAGTCCCAAGATGTTTGATTCTCTATAGAAACTAAAGAGAACATCTTAACATATGTCCTTGAGTAGTTTTTCAGGAACCCAGACTCTCACCAAACAGAGCCACTGATAGGGAGACCTCAGATAAGGGGAAAATGAGGACTCAATGCTGACTGTGACTCTTTGTTCTAAATTTTTTCCTGAGGGGCCTGGAAAGAGTCAGGTCCACAGAGCAGACCTGAACATTCCTCCCTACTGCCCCTAAGTGTGTAGACAAAGCTTTGGCTCCTTATCCAATCACAAATCAGAGAATCTTTCAATCCACCTATGACCTGTACGATCCCTCATCAGGATATCCCACCTTTTTAGGCCAAACCAGTGTGTAATTTCTATGCATTGATTTTTGATGTTGCCTGCAACTCGGCTTTGCTGAAATTTACTCCTGCCTTAAAAACTCTTGCTTGTAAGCCATTGGGGAGGTTAGGTCTTAAGTGTGAGCTGCCCGATTCTCCTTGCTTGGTGCCTTGCAAATAAACGCCTTCCTTTCTCCCACTACAAAATCTCAGTGTGGATGTTTGCCTTTATTGCACCAGGTGAGTGGGCCCCAGTTCAGTTTGATAACACATCTACCACCAGCTAAGCAATGCTTACTCCAGGGTCAGTATCTATTCCTGCCAAGACCCATTTGCTGCCTCCTAGGGGTACTGGTATCAGTCTAATTTGCCAGCTATCTATTTTCAAGACCTTCCCATGAGAGAATTTGCTACATAGCCATATGCTGTCTCTGTCTCTTCTTAAACAGAACAGTCCTTATGGGTATTTCGTGCCTGTGAGTTGGAGGATGTAAAAGGAATATATCTTGATTCAGCCTATCTCTGCATTGCTGCAGCCCTCAGTGTCTACTTATTTCACGGACCCAGGTGATCACCACAAGCAAACGTGGATTTTTTTGAGATGTGGTATTGATATTTTTCCCTGGACTCAAAAGTTGCTCAGGCAAAACTAAGACTCCTGGGCTCAAGAGATCCTTCTGCCTCAGTTCTTCTTGTAGCTGGAAATACAGGTACACCTGGAAATCACTTAGAAATAAATGCTTGTTGATTTCAATCACCTTCCAAACCTGGAGGAGGGTTATTCTGAGGGGCATTGAACTAATTGAACTATTCTGAGGGAATGGTACTAAACGATTCATGAGAAGCCACCCCCATGATGCAATCACCTCCCTTGAGGCCTCACCTCCAACACTGGGGATTATATCTCAACATGAGATTTGGGTGGGGACAACACCCAATTTATATCAGACATCAACACGCCTTACATTAATGCACCCCTCAAATTACCATAGTGATTTCCACAGGACTGTGTCCTATACGGGTATTCTTTTCATAGGCCAGTTTTCCATTGCTCTCTTAATTATATGGCCAGGCCATCAGTCAATGCCCATAAGTCAGTAAAAACTAAGACATAGGGACTTTTGTCATTGTTCAATTCTTTCATCACTTCTCAGAAAACATCATGCAATTCAACCAAAAAAAAAAAAAAAAACTGTCCTGTTTTTAACTTCTTTGATCAAAGGGGTAGACTTCCAAACAGGATGTTGTCCACTCATCTTGCAAATGCTGTACACAAACCAACCAGCTCTTTGTGGGTCAGTTGACTGATATTGCAGTTCAAATCCCAGGATGTCTGCTGCAGAGTTCCATCTTGTTTAGGGAGGGTCACATTATAAAGGTCAAACTACTTTACTCAAAGCCTAGCAATTATCAGGTTCAAGCGATTCTCCTGCCTTAGTCTCTTGAGTAGCTGGGATTACAGGCACCTGTCATCACGCCCAGCTAATTTTTTTGTATTTTTAGTAGAGATGAGGTTTCACCATGTTGGCCAGGCTGGTCTTGAACTCCTGACCTCAGGTGATCTGCCCATCTCGGCCTCCCAAAGTGCTGGGATTACAGGCATGAGCCACCGCGCCTGGCCACTCTTCATTATATAAAATATAAGACAGTCTGTCCTCCATGTCTGTGTGTTCCACATCTGTGAATTCAACTACCTGAGGATTGGAAATGTTATGTTGCTGCTGTTGTGTACTCTGTAGTTAGGCCTACTGACAGTGGTTACATCTGTACTGAAGATGTACAGACATTTTCTTGTCGTTATTTCCTAAACAATATAGTATAACTACTGTTTACAATCATGTACATTGCACTAGGTATTGTAAGTAATCTAGAGATGATTTAAAGTATATGGGATGATATGCATAGGTAGTAGGCATATAGTAGGCCATTTTATACATGGGACCAGAGAATCCACAGATTTTGGTATCCACAGGGGTCCTAGAACCCAGCCCAAAAGGATACCAAGGGATGACTATATAGGACTGACATTCCTTTTTTAAGTTTTTGAAAGAATTGATGGGAGGAAATGTGGTAAGAAGTTTTTCTGGTGGGAAGGAATTTAATTAAAATTCAATTTCTTAATGGATAGAGGACTATTTATATTTTCTACTTAGTTTTCTGTTGGCTTTGTTCAACTGTGTTTTTCAAGAACTCATTTCATTGCACCTAAATTTTAAAAGGTATTGTCATGAAGTTGTGTCTAATATTCTCTTATTTTCATTTTAATAAAATCTGTGGTTTTATAAGTTGTCCCTTCTCACAGTGTTCATTCGTGTTTTCTCTCTTTGTATGATTGATCTTTCTGGGGATTATGAAATAGTTTGCCCATGATTTCCTCTATTATCCTTAACATATTAATCATAAATATATTGAAGAATGTCCTTGCTCGCTGGCTTCAGTATCCAGATCATCTGAGTCGGCTTCTGTTGATTATTTTATCTCCACTTGTTGCATTTTTTCTGCTGCTTGGCATGCCACATATTCTGGGTGATGTGTTACAGAGGTTCTGGATTTTGCTATCTTCCTGCTAAGACTGCTAACTGCTTGACGGTTCATTAATTATCATAAAAATCAGACCCACTTTGATTCTGCTTAGGCTTGATTTTAGCCTTTGTTAACATGAGTCTAGTTCAGTGCGGTCCTTACTCCAAGGCAAGGGTCCTCACTCATAGTGCTTCACCACCCTGTTGGCTCAACCCAGGTTTGGCTGGGCTAAAATTCCAACATCTCCTCATACTCTGAAGCCTTTGGCATTTCTACTTAGCATGCAATCTCCAAGCAACTGTTCTCTGGTGGGCTTCTTAGAGTATCACCTAAAGCATATGCAGCTTAGGAGTGCAGATTTTGGGGGTTTCTTCTCTGTAGTGACATTGTAGGTGACACTGTACATCATAGTACAATGCATTAATGATATGTTTGTGGTGATGCTGGTGTAAACAAACCTACTGCACTGTCAATCCTATAAAAGTCTAGCACATACAGTTATGTACAATACATAATCCTTGATAATGATAATAAATGACTATGTTACTGGTTTACATATTTACTATACTTTTTATTGTTATTTTAGAGTGTGCTCCTTCTAATTATTAAAAAAACTTGAAACAGCCTCGGCCAGGTCCTTTAGGAGGTATTCCAGAAGAAGGCATTGTTATCATAGGAGATGGCAGCTCCATGCATGTTATTACACCTGAAAATCTTCCAGTGGGACAAGATGTAAAGGCTAAAGATAGTGATATTGTTGATCCTAACCCTGTGTCAGCCTAGGCTAATTTATGTCTTTTTTTTTTAACAGAAAAGATTTAAAAGTAAAAAAAAAATTAAATAGAAATAAGTTTCTAGAATGAAAATATAAGGAACAATATTTTTGTACAGCTTTGTAACATGTTGGTCTTTTAAGCTAAGTGCTATTACAAAAGCTGAAAAGTTTTAAAAATTAAAGTTTATAAAGTTAAAAAAGTTACATTAAGCTAAGGTTAATTTATTATTAAAGAAAGAAAATTATTTTTAAAATCAATTTAGTGTAACCTAAGTGTACAGCATTTATAAAATCTACAGTAGTGCACAGTAATGGCCTAGGCCTTCAGTTCACTCACCACTCACTTGCTGACTCACCCAGAGCAACTTCCAGTCCTGTAAGCTCCATTCATGATGAGTAACCTATATAGGTGTGCCATTGTAAAAATCTTTTTACCATATTTTTACTGTACTTTTTCTGTTTACATATGTTTAGATCCACAAATACCTACCATTGTGTTACAATTGCCTACAGTACTCAGTATAGTAATGTGCTATCCAAGTTTGTAGCCTAGGAGCAATAGGCTTTATGATATAGCGTAGGTGTGCAGTAGGCTATATCATCTAGCTTTGTGTATGGACACTTTATGATGTTCACGTAAGACCAAATCACCTAAGGACACATTTCTCAGAACCTATCTTATCATTAAGAAAGAATGACTATATATGTAATGTAAGTCCTTTGAAGTTTAAGCATTTTCACTTTCATATATTTGTCTCATTTAAGAAATATTTTCCATTCCAGCAGGTACAGCTAAAAAAAAAGAAAAAAGAAAAAAAGAAAAATTTTCTTGCTCAAATGTTTTAAGGTTATCCTCCTAATAACATTGGTAGTAGTTTTATTTTTTCATATTTGTCTTTACCGCTTATATAATTTTTTGTTTATCTCAAGGTGTAGAGATATAATTTAATCATAGGGTGTTTAGTAAAATATCAATGCTGGGAAAGGGCTTAGGAGATAACGATGAATCAAAACACAGCACAAAGGCCAGGTACTGTGGCTCACTCCTGTAATCCCAGCACTTTGGGAGGCCAAGGAGGGTGAACCACTTGAGCCCAGAGGTTCTAGACCAGCCTGGGAAACATACTGAGACCTCGTCTCTACAAACACATGTCAATCAATGCAGCATAATAGAGAATCTGGAAATAAATCCATATATTTACAGCCAACTGATTCTTGACAAAGGTGCCAAGAACATACATTTGGGGAAAGGACACCCTCTTCAATAAATGGTGCTGGGGAAATTGGATATCCACATGCAGAAGAATGGAATTAGATCCCTATATCTCACCCTATATAAATATCAACTCAAGATGGATTAAATACTTAGACGTAAGACCCAAAACTATAAAACAACTGGAAGCAAACATATGAGAAACATTCTAGGACATTGGTCTGGGTAACGATTTTATGGCTAAGACTTCAGAAGCACAGACAACCCAAACAAAATAGACAAATGGGACTATAATAAACTAAAACGCTTCTGCGCAGCAAAGAAAACCATCAAAAGAGTAGACAGACAACCTGTTGAATGGGAGAAAATATTTTCAAACAATTTATCTGACAAGGGACTAATATCCAGAATATGTAAGGAACTCAAGAGCTAAAAAAACCAAAAAATTCTATTAAAAAGTGGACAAACGACATGAATAGACATTTCTCAAAAGAAGACATACAAATGGCCAGCAGGTACATGAAAAATGCTCAACATCACTTATCATCAGGGAAATGCAAATCAAAACCACAATGAGATATCATCTTACCCCCAGATAGAATGGGTACAACTAAAAAGACAAAAAAAAACAAACAAACAAATAGATGTTTGTGAGGATGTGGAGAAAAGGGCACTCTTACACACAGTGTGTAAAACTAGTACAGCAACTGTAAAAAACAGTATACAGAGTTTTCAAAACACTGAAAATAGAATCACTGTATTATCAAGCAATTTTGGGGTGGGGCTGCAGGGTCCTGGAGTTCAGGTTGGCAGAGAGCAGGGCCTGGAGGTGCTTGGGAGGCCGGAGGAGAAGGAAAGAGGCAGATGCCTGGGTCCCAGGGTATCGAAGTGGGGAGGGTCTGGGGCAAGAGGTAAATGGGCGAATTCTTGAGATCCATTGAGAATCCATGGTCAGCCCTTGAGATCCAAAGAAAGGGGTCAGAAGCTTGGGCCAGGCTCACCGCTGAGCTCTTTGTAACCCCTTTGTAACCCATGACCACCTTCAGACTCCCAGCTAAGTAAGTCTTTGACCCTCCAAGAACAACATCTCCTTGGCTGCCAGCAGAGGGACCTGCTCTCTGCCCATGACCCCAGGGCCCCTGGGCCTGGCATGGCAGCTCCTGCTGTCAAAGGCAAAGAAGAGGCAGCCGTCCAGCTAGCCCAGTGCTATGACTGCAGGCTTCCTGGGGGTGGACTCTGATAGGGCCTTAAGATCCTAGCTCAGAAAGCGGGACCCTGAAATTCCCAGGGCTGGGCCCCTTAGCACCTGTATAGCAGCTCTCTTCTCCTCAGAACCCTAGAAACTCTCTCCCACTCTACACACACCTGCACGCACACACATCAACACAAACACACACATTCCTAACAGGATGTTTTCCATTTTTCTCTCCTCCCTGGCTCCTTTCACTCTCTTTCTCCCCCCTTGCCCCCTTCTCTTATGATCCATTTCTTCTCTCTTCTGCTCTCTGGAGGTTCCCTTCTTCCTGGACCGAGGCACTAGGAGCTGCTGTCCCTGGACCCCAGGGTTGGAGGCTAACAGGCTGATTCCTGGGATGAGCAGCCTCTAGCAGCAGGAACAAAGGAGGGGACGGGAGGCCAAGGCCCCATCTGGAGGCTGAGGGACTGGGTCCTGTGGCAGCAAGGATTTGGGGGTGTGTCATCCCCACATCTGATCCCACTGTTTTGCCCTGGAGGCCTCTCTCTGCTCTGAGGCAAAAGTCCAGTCACTCAGTGGTGAGAGGAAATGTCATTGTCAACATGGATTTTGGGAAGCTGAATGGACTCAGAGCCTGACTTGAGACCCGGAGGCTCCTTGAGTGCAGAGCCCTGTCCAGGTGCTGGGAGCAGAGGGAGAGCCTCGGAGGTCCTGGTTGGTGAGAAAGGGGAGCGGGGTCCGGTCCTCTGTCCTCGTCCCTGTGGCCACACGGGGGCGCCGCCGCGCTGCTCTCGCATTCTGATTGAGCGCTCTCAGGCACTGGGTGAGGGCTGAGTGGGGCAGAAGGGGCGGAGCCTGAGGTCATCCACGCGGGAATGCAGGTTCCTCCTAAGCAGCCCTGGAATCCACAGACTCAGGCTAGATTTGCTTGTCTTGCAACGTGAGGCAATTGTGGAGCAGCAAGATCTGGCTCTAGAATTCTCACCGCGAATGCGGTTCTTATAGAATCCAACCTGAATGAGAGGCCAGGGCCTGAGCTGACTGCCCTGGGCACACCTGGCTTTGATGGGGTTGCCAAAATATAACTGGCACTTACAAAAATTTCAATGATTGTCGAAAAGTCCATATAATTATATACAATTTCATTTCTGATGTCTCTGGCTGTGCCTTTGAAAGGGCATAAAGAGCCATGGAAAGAGGCTGAAAGGCTCCTCTGGGAATTTTCAAATCCCTTTTCATAGCAGCAACTTGGTCTAGCCCAGTGCTATGACTGCAGGCTTCCTGGGGCTGGACTCTGATAGGGTCTTAAGGTCCTAACTAAGAAAATGGGACCCTGGAACTCTCAGGGCTGGGCCCTGAAGAAACACAGGGAGAAGGATCTGGAGGCGCAACCCTCCCTTCTGATCAGCACGGGCAGGGCTGTCTGAGCGCGTTTCCCCTCTGTGTTCAGCAGGATCGACTTTGCAGTGAGGCGCAGCCCCTGTCTCCCTGGGGGCCTCAGGTCCACACATCCTTCCACTGCCGCATGTCAGAAGCATCTGTTTCCTTTATTTTGTTTTCCACAGACTTCTTTCTTTTTTCTGTCCTTGACCACTAATACAACACAGGCAAGATCCTATAAGACCAGGTAAAAGATGTTACTGATAATAGTGAAGGCATGGTTGTGAAGGGACAATGGCAGATACAGACAGAGCCAGAGACAAAACAGAAAGGCAGAACAGAGATAGAAACACACACAGAAAATGAACATCCATCCGTCCATCCAACCATCCATCCATCCATGCATTCATCCATGCATGCATCTGTCTGCTCTCTACCTTTCTATCTCCTTACAAGGGAGGTACATCAACACTTTTACATTCATTTCCCAACAAAAATCACAAGATTTTCCTTGTCGGCTCACACCTGCCCTCCTTCATCCAGCCAACTGATGTGTTTGCTGAGGTCTTGCCACATGCCACACTGGGTGCTGAGCTTTGGGGTCTGAACAGTAACAGACCTCTGTGATGCACTCACACGGGGCCCTTTACTGTCCTGTCCTTGGCTATGAGACATCCTCATGTCCCTGAAGCTCTTCTTTCTGCTTCTTGGATAAAGTCCCTGACCACCTCCCTACTGGCACCCAGGAGACTCTGACATCCTGGAACACCAGTATCTTTCATCAAACACTGACTTACAGCATTTATCCTGTGTCTGTCACTCACTACATACCCTTTTGATGATTTTCTCATTTAGAGATTGTTAAAAAAGGATGTGATTGTAACCTCAGACAAGTGTAATAGAATAGTAAAATAAGGAACTCTGTGAAAAGGGCTTTTTCTGCTTTCTCCCAGAACATCTCATTTGCATCTGTGTTTGGCTGGATGAAAAGTGGCTTCCATATCCCCTGACATAATGCAACAAGCAGAAACACTTGCTCAGTAAACAAGTACTTCGGAAAATGCAGGGTCTTGAACACTGCCCTCAGGGCTCCACACATCAGAAGGACATATATATCTTTCCTTCAACCCCAGAGATGCCCAGGGGCTGCATGTTGGCTCCTCACTGGTCTTACTCATGTCCTACTGGAAGAGGACGGTGCTTCTCTGGAAATGTCAGAGTGGTGTGGGACAGCCAGTTCCTCTGTGTGCCCTGCAGGAAAACAGACAATTCAGCTTTTCAATCCCACTCAGTATCTGAAAATAAACTGGGTTTTCAATGTATTCCCCTCCAGAGAGTAAATTGCGGAGGAAACATGTTCAAACGCACACTTAATTATTTTCCGAGTCAAGAATGTAAGTATGAGGCCCTTTAAGACGAGTTAAGAGAAGTTCCTGACCTCAAATTTCATGTGGAAGTTATAAGATGGAGCTGGAAGCATCTGTCCTTACCTCTGGGTATAAAGTTGGGACCCCGCGGGAGGCAGTCAGCCACAGTTAGGGCACCAAGCAAACCCTCAGGAAGGACTCGGTCCACGCAGGAGCCTCCCTAAGCAGCTTCTCCCTGAAGAAAACCTGAAGTCTTAGAAATCCAAGAAGAACAAAGATATTCATGTCTCTGATAAGGAAAATGAAATGCCAGCAATCCAGCACTGAGAAGGGAAGCTACGAGACCACATTTTCTGCACGTGGAGAAGACATGTTTAATGGAGAGGTGGGAACTTGTCTCAAAAGTGTTGCGCTGCCGTGAGAACGTGTGGTCATCACTGCCACCACCCGCTGCTCGCTCAGTGGCCTCTGCCCATTGTAACTAATGGGCCAATGAATAGAAACACTTTTCACCTTCCTCTCCTGCAATAAGGCTATTAAAATAAATCATCTCCTCTGGTTGATTTTTCACTTAGGGAAAAAATAACTGGGGTAATGCATGCCCGTAGACCAGGTTTTAAAGAAGTTCTCAGAAAACCCTGAGACAGTCTCCAGAAGGCTCATCCAGCAGAAACGAGGCCTTGCACTTCTGCCATCCCGTGTGTCACCATGATGGAGTTTGCCCAGCTAGGGATGGCAAGAGGCCAAGTCATCACAGGTGATCTGCAGGCCTGGTGAGGAAGGACAATGACAGACGGGAAGGAGGAAATGCACACACACGACCAGACCTCCTGCCATTCCTTTGTCCATTGGTCTTGCTCTGTCTTTCACTCTCTGAAATTTTGTTGTCATGAGTCTTGGTGTGGGTCTGTTTCCATCTCCTGTATTGAGAACTTTGTTGCAGCCATTCACACTATACATTTTTGTCAGTAGCCTTCAAAACATTTTCTTGAATTACTTTTAATTACTTTCTATGGTTATTGGAACTTATATTATGAGACTGCTGGAATTCCTTAATTGATAGTATAATATTCTTAAAGTTCTATCATGCTTGGCATCACGTTTTTATTTTGTACTACCTTGCAGCACACAACTTTCATTTCAGTTCATTTTTTAAACTCTTTATTTCAATGATCATATTTTAAAATTCCAGAGCTCTTTCTAGTTCTCTGCATGAAATTGTTTATAAATTTGTTCAAATCTCATAACTGCTGTTTTCTTACATCTTTCACACATAATTGGTAATAGTGGTAGGGACCCATTAGGTCTCCTTGTAACCTGCTTTCATGATATCACAAACTTTTCCCTTACGCTCATTAGCAATTTCACAATCTTGGGGCAATTTTTGCTAAATATTTATCTTCCTTACAATATTGAAAACTCCCCATCTCCAAGATTTTACTCTTGCTCTTCATTATATCCTCAAGTGCTTAGCAGATCTCCTGATCACTGGAAATACACCCTGGATGAACGGACTTCTGCGTGAATTTGGCAGTTAAGTCATTGCCCTTCTTGTCTTCCTGAGCTCTGAGCCAGTGGCCTCCTGTCCATAGAACATTCTGGGACATCAAAACAGTTCACTTGTGTAAGGTGCAGATGAAGAGAGAATCAATGGAAGACAAGTCAACAAGGCCTCTGAGAGAAAATCTCCAGGGTTCAACCCTAGCCCCACCACCTTCTTTACCTCTCTCCTTCCCTGTCTGTACAAAGGATCACATATTGAGTTCCCCATGGGTTTGCATTGAGGATTAAATCTGACTCTCTATGTAAAGCCATGGCATTATTTTCTGAGTCATACTAAATGCTCCATTATTGATAACTATCATCACTATATTCATTACAATCTTTGGGTTATTTCCATTATTTTGCTTTTATAAACCACAATTCAAGGAACATTCTTATATATGTGGTTTTTTTGTTTTTGTTTTGGGACAGAGTCTCGACCTGTCACCCAGGCTGAAGTGCAGTGACATGATCGCAGCTCACTGCAACCTCCACCTCCCGGGTTCAAGCAATTCTTCTGCCTCAGCCTCCCGAGTAGCCGGAACCACAGGTGTCTGCCACCACGCTCGGCTAATTTTTGTAGTTTTTAGTAGAGACGGGGTTTCACCATGTTGGCCAGGCTGATCTTGAACTCCTGACCTCGTAATCCACCTGCCTCGGCCTCCCAAAGTGCTGGGATTACAGGCATGAGCCACCGCGCCCGGCCTATATATGCGTTTTTAGAAAGATATGTAATTATTTCCTTGGGATAAATTCCTAAAAGAGAAATTTTCATGTCAAAATGTCAGAACACTTAGGCCCGGCGCAGTCCCTCACCCCTGTAATCCCAGCACTTTGGGAGACCAAGGCGGGTGGATCACTTGAGGTCAAGGATTTGAGATGAGCCTGGCCATCATGGTGAAACCCCATTTCTACTAAAATTACAAAAATTAGCTGGGCGTGGTGGCACGCACCTGTAGTCCCAGCTACGCGGGAGGCTGAGGCAGGAGAATCGCTTGAACCCAGGAGGTGGAGGCTTCAATAAGTCAAGATTGTGCCACTGCACTCCAGCCTGGGCGACAGAGCAAGACTCTGTCTCAAAAACGTCAGAACATTTAAATTATTGAGACATTTTGCAAAAGTGCCCTTTAGAAGTTTTGTACCACTTTTCAATGCCATCAGTCTTCGTAACAGTACATTTTCCCTGTACTCTGATCAATACTACCATCATTTACTTCTGTCTTTGCCAAGCTGATGGATTTTAATTCTGGTTCCCATTTTGTAGTCTACATTCTTATTTTTTGCACATATTTATTACTAATATAACTATATGACATTTCTTAATCATTTCTCAAACGTAATGCTGATATTTTTAAATATTGAATTTAATCAAGAAAAAGCAGCCCCTAATATCTGGGAACTTGTCTGGCACAGCTGGGCATCAGTGTTGCCAGGAGCTGGTCTGGTCTTCACTACTGGGCCATATTAGTCCCTCTGGGACATAAATTATATCACAAAATACCAACACCACACTGGATCACTCTCAGCCCATGAGAAAGTGAGGCGAAACAAAAGTACTTCATAATTTTGTCTAAACCCTCTCCCGGCTAGTATGAGTGGCTGATGCTTCTCTACGGATTAAGCTTTATCTGCACTCTAGTCCACCCTCCCTAAAGGTAAGATTTATTGAAATACCGAATTGTAGAATTGCCTCTGCTTACTGACAGTACTAAATCTAGAGCAATAAAATAAAATAGAATTTCTCAACTGTGTTATCTGTATTTTCTTTTTTTCCTTATTCTCATGCTCTGGCATCTGAGTCCTCACTGATTGTGAGGACTCCCCTCCCAAGACTAGTCTATTCCTACAGATACTAAAGGGATTGACCGCAAATGCGCCTTTCTTATGCAAACTAACCAAACCAGAGCCCAAACTCAGAATGAGTTCTTTTTTTCTGGCTGTCACATGGCCCCGATACTCCCAGTCAATATTCTCCTGTCTTAATAATCTGAGAGACAGGTATCAGACAACTAGAGACAATCCCTATGCCTCAGAGTCACCAAGATTATTCAGACTCATCAATACTGAACATGTCTACACTGCTTACCCTGCCTTGCTCATTCATTCCCCTAAAAACCACATTAGAGGCTCTCGCCCATGCTTTCCCCTCCCGTTGCCACTTGACCAGCCTTGGTGCTGCCTGTTGTGCTGTGCTTCCTATGTCAGTGGGTAATAAACTCTTTTTTCAGTGGCATAGACCTCTCTGTGTCATCATTCAGTCATAACTACTAATTAATTAAATCCCAGGGAAACTTGAAATACCAGCTGAAGCCCAAATATTATAATAGGCTCTATCTAAAAGGCACTTACCAAGATACTCGGTAGTTATCCAAGGTGTGCATTCTCCCTCCCACTGCAGTGAGTAATAAACCCAACTTCTTCACCCACAGATGTGCTCCAGGTGGCCTTGGGCTGAAGGGTATTAACACATTGTTACTATTTTGTCCATCAACTGTTTACATGTCTTTGAGGTTGATTATGGGAAAGTGTTTGTACATTTCTGTGTTTGTGGATGCCAAAGAGATTTTTTTTAATTTGTAAGTAGTCAAAATGATTATCATCATTCTTCATCACTTTTCACATTTTGGTCATGCTTAGAACATCTGCACTCCAGAGTTGTGAAAACTTCATACATATTTGACCTAGGAAGAGACGATGAGGAAAGGGGTCCGAGAGTTGAAGGACATAGAATTGTTTCAAGTTGTGGAAAAGTAAAGATTACTAATGCGATGGGATTGTAAGGTTTAATTATTTTATAATTTTTGAAATGTGTCTACTGGGTCTGTAGGGTACTTAATATATGTGGTATCCAATAAATACAACTTAGGATGAGTACTCAAGACTTATTTGCCTTCTTACATTCACCAAAGTAAAGAAAATATTATGCCAGATTTCCAGTGAAATATAGACATGGATTGGCAACAGTGATGTGCATTTATGAAGACTTGATACTATGAACTGATAATTCATATTTTGGTTGATGTCTATACACTGTAGTTGTTCAAATACACATTAATTAAACTTTCTTGGGCATGCTATATTTCAATGATATGTCTGAGACCCATATAGACAAATTCATGGCTTCCATATGAAGACAACTTTGATATATTCAATCTATGAGTGACATGGTATACTTTTAGGGAGATTAAAAACTAAGATACTCTGGTATGCACTATCAAATTTCATTGGAGATGTGGTTACTTGAGCTGTGGTGGCTACACTTGCGATGAAGCGGAAGAAGAGCTCTGGTATGTAAGGACTGGGATCTGCATTGTCATGTTCCATTCTGCATTGATAATAAAATGTACCCCACATACCCCGCCCCCCACCACACACACAGACACACACACACAAAACACAAACACTCATGCTTACCCAGTCATAGTCCCTGCTTGCTGAAATTTCTGTAACGTAAAGCACTTGTGAAAATAAAGGACCAGTCATCACCTTGATGATTCTAGAGATGGGGACCCGATTCCCAGAAGTCATAGGTCAGAAGGGAAAGACTGCTGAGGACAGACCTCCAGTCACCCAAGAGGGAAGGTGGTCCAGCCCCTGCACGTCTCCTGTCCTTGTTTTCCTGATCCTGCCCTGGGTATGGTTATAGAGTCGAATAGATAAATTGAACTTCATCAAACCAAAACTTTTATGCATCAGAGAACACTATCAATACAGTGAAAAGGCAATCCATACAATGGCAGAAAATATTTGCCTATTACATATCTCATATGGGTCAAGTGTTTGGATACACAAAGAACCCTTTAAACATCAATAACAAAATGACAAATAATCCCATTACAAAATGGGCAAAGAAATTGAAAAGTCATTTCTTCAAAGAAGATACATAAACCGCCAATATACACAGGAAAAGATACTCAACATCATTAGCCATTAAAGAAATGCAAATTAAACCACAATAATATGGCTATAATAATAATTTTTTTAAAATGAAAATAAATGTTAGGAAAGATAAGCAGAAATTAGAACCCTCATACCACTATATTTTATGGAAATATAAAATGGCCAGCTGAGGTTCTTATTTGGTGGAAGCATTTCTTTCCTGGGAAATCCACTAAGCCCAAGGTTGCAGAGATGTGAAGCAGAAATTTTAAAAGTAATTAATAGGTGTAATTGTACAAGAATATTTATTAACATAATAAATTATCTCAGCTTTTTTAGTCAAAATAACTCCTATAACTTTGTTCATCTTTTTAGAAATTACTTAAATTGTACTGACTATGATAACATGCCTGTAGTCTCAGCTACTCAAGAGACTGAGATGGGAGGACACCTTGAGCCCAGGAGTTCAAGACTAACCCGGACAACATAGCAAAACTTGTCCTGAAAAAAAATGAAAAATTAGCTGCACATGGTAGTGCATGACTGTAGTCTCAGCTACCTGGGGGCTGAGGTGGATGGATCCCTTGAGCCCAGAAGTTAGAAGCCAACATGGGGTAATATAGAAAGACTCTTTCTCTAAAATTTTTAAAAAATAAATTGCATGAGTTATTCTAGACCTTTTATGTTTTCATATAAATTTGTAAATCAGCTCATAAATTTCTATCAAAAAGCCTCCTAGAATTTTGTTAGTTTTTTTTTAAATCTCTGGGTTAATTTGGGGAGTGTTGCATTTTAACAATGTTAAATCTTGCTCCCCATGAACAGGGGATCTATTTATTTAGGTCTTCTATGTACTCTTTCCACAGTGTCTCTTGATTTCTAGTGTCTTGGATTTCAGAGATCTTAAATATTTTTTGTATGATTTATTTATTTTCTTTGTTGTTGTTGTTTTTGTTGTTGTTTGCCCTATGAAGTTTTATTTTATTTCAATAGTTTTTTGGGGTACAGGTGGGTTTTGGTTTAATGGATGAGTTCTTTAGTGGTGAATTCTGAGACTTTAGTGCACCTGTCACCCAAGCAATATACACTGTACCCAATATGTAGTCTTTTATCTCACTCCCCTCTCAGCCTGTCCCTTGAGTCCCCAAAGTCCATTATATCGCTCTATATGTCTTTGCATCCTCCTAGCTTAGCTCCCACTTATAAGTGAGAACATACAGTATTTGGTTTTCCATTCCTGAGTTACCTCACTTAGAATAATGGCCTCCATCTCCATCTAGGTTGTTGCAAAACACATTATTTTGTTCCTTGTTATGGCTAAGTAATACTCCATGGTGTACATATACCACATTTTCTTTGTCCACTTGTTGGTCGATGGACACTTACTTTGTTTTCATGTCATTGCAATCGTGAAGTGTGCTGCTGTAAACATGCACGTGCATGTGTCGTTTTCATATAATGACTTCCTTTGGGTAGATATCCAGCAGTGGGATTGCTGGATTGAATGGTAGATCTACTTGCAGTTCTTTAAATAATGTCCATACTGCTTTCCAAAGTGGTTTTACTAATCTACATTCCCACCAGCAGTGCAAAAGTGTTCCCTTTTCACCACATCCACACAAACATCTACTGTGGTTTTTAAAAATTTTTTAATTATGGCAATTTTTGCAGGAGTAAGGTGGTATCTTGTACTTATAATTTGCATTTCCCTGATGATTAGTTATCTTGAGCAATTTTTCATGATTGTTGGCTATTTGTATATCTTCTTTTGAGAACTGTCAATTCATGTCCTTTGCCCAGTTTTTGATGGGATTATTTGTTTTTTTCTTGCTGATTTCTTTGCGTTCCTTGTAGATTCTGGATATTAGTCCTTTGTTGGATGTATAGTCTGTGAATATTTTCCCCTACTGTGTGGGTTGTCTGTTTACTCTGCTGATTATTTCTTTTGCTGTGTAGAAGCTTTATCATTCAACCAGGTCTCATTTATTTATTTTTATTTTTGTTGTGTTTGTTTTCGGGGTCTTAGTCATGAATTTTTTGCCTAAGCCAATGTCCAGAAGAGTTTTTTAATGTTATCATGTTATCTTCTAAGATTTTTATGGTTTTAGGTTTTAGGTTTTAGGTTTAAGTCTTTGATCCATTTTGAGTTGACATTTATATAAAGTGAGAGATGGAGATACAGTTTCATTCTATATGTGGCTTGCCAGTTTTCCCAGCACTCTCTATTGAATAGGATGTGCTTTTCCCAATTTATGTTTTTGTATGCTTTGTCAAAGATCAGTTAGCTGTTGGCATCTGGCTTTATTTCTGGATTGTCTATTCCATTCCATTGGTCTAAGCGCCTATTTTTTATTTTATCTTATTTTGAGATGGAGTTTCACTCTTGTTGCCCAGACTGGAGTGCAATGGCACGATCTCAGCTCATTGCAACCTCTGCCTCCCAGGTTCAAGTGATTCTCCTGCCTCAGCCTCCTAAATAGCTGGGATTACAGGTGCCCACCACCACGCCCAGATAATTTTTTTTGTATTTTTAGTAGAGATGGTGTTTTATCATGTTGGCTAGGCTAGTCTCGAACTCTTGACCTCAGGTGATTTGTCTGCCTCTACCTCCCGAAGTGCTGGGATTACAGGCGTGAGCCACCGTGCCCAGCTGAAGTGCCTATTTTATACCAGTATGATGCTGTTTTGGTAACGATAGCCTCGTAGTGTAACTTGAAGTCTGTTAATGGGTCGCTTCCAGATTTGTTATTTTTGCTTAGTATTGCTTTGGATACGTGGGCTCTTTTTTGGTTCCACATGAATTTTGGGGTTGTTTGCTCCAGTTCTGTGAAGAATGATGATGGTATTTTGATGAAAATTGCACTGAATCTATAGATTGCTTTGGGCAGTATGGTCATTTTCACAATATTGATTCTATTCATCTATGAGCATGGGATGTGTTTCCATGTGTTTGTGTCATCTATGATTTCTTTCAGCAGTGTTTTTTAGTTTTCCTTGCAGAGATCTTTCACCTCCTTGGTTAAGTATATTCCTAGGTTTTGGGGGGTGTTGTTTTTTTGGAGGTTTTTGTTGTTGTTGTTGTTGTTTGTTTTTGCAGCTGTTGTAAAAGGGATTGAGTTCTTGATTTGATTCTCACTTGGTCGTTGTTGGTGTATAGCAATGCTCCTGATTTGTGTACATTGATTTTGTGACCTGAGACTTTACTAAATTTGTTTATCAGATCTATGGGTCTTTTGGATGAGTCTTAGTATTTTCTAGGTATACGATCATATCATCAGTGAACAGGGACAGTTTGACTTCCTCTTTTCTAATTTGGATGCCCATTATTTCTTTCTCTTGCTTGATTGCTCTGGCTAGAACTTGCAATACTGTGTTGAATAGAAGTGGTGCACGTGGGCATCCTTGCCTTGTTTCAGTCCTTGGAGGAATGCTTTCAACTTTTCCCCATTCACTATGATGTTGGCTGTGAGTTTGTCATATATGACTTTCATGACTTTGAGGTAAGTCCCTTCTATGCCTATTTTGTTGAAGGTTTTTATCATAAAGCAATGCTAGATTTTATCAAATGCTTTTTCTGCATCTATTGAGATAATCATATGATTGTTGTTTTTAATTCTGTTTATGTGGTGTATCACATTTATTGACTTGCATATGTTAAACCATCTCTGCATCCCTGGGATGAAACCCACTTCAACATGGTGTATTATTTTTTTGATAGGCTACTGGATTTGGTTAGCTAGTATTGTGTTGAACATTTTTGCATGTATGTTCATTGGGGATATTTGTCTGTATTTTTCTTTTTTGTTATGTCCTTTCCTACTTTTGGCATTAGGGTGATACTGTCTTCATAGAATGATTTAGGGAGGATTCCCTTTTTCTCTATCTTTTGGAATAGTTTCAGTAGGATTGGTACCAATTTTTTGAATGTCTAATGGAATTTGTCTGGGAACCCATCTGGTCCTAGGCTTTTTTTTGTTGACAGTTTTTTTTATTACTGTTTCAGTCTCACTGCTTGTTATTGGTCTGCTCATGATTTCTATTTCTTCCTGATTTAGTCTAGGAGGGTTGTATGTTTCCAGGAATTTATCAGTTTTTAGATTTTCTAGCTGGTGTGTGTAAAGGTGTTCATAGTAGCCTTGAATTAACTTTTGTGTTTCTGTGGTATTAGTTGTAATATCTCCAGTTTGTTTTCTAATTGAGCTTATTTGGATCTTCTCTCCTTTTCTTGGTTAACCTCACCAATGGTCTATTGATTTTGTTTACCTTTTCAAAGACCCAACTTTTTTTTCATTTATCTCTTGTATTATTTTTGTTTCAGTTTCATTTATTTCTGCTCTGATCTTTATTATTTCTTTTTTATGCTGGCTTTGGGTTTCATTTGTTTTTATCTCTCCAGTTCCTTGAGGTGTGACATTAGGTTTTCAATTTGTGCTTATTCAGATTTTTTTTTTCCTTCCCAGATGAAGTCTCACTCTGTTGCCCAGGCTGGAGTGCAGTGGCGCAATCTCAGCTCACTGCAACCTCGACCTCCTGGATTCAAGTGATTCTCCTTCCTCAGCCTCCTGAGTAGCTGGGATTAAAGGCGCGTGCCACCACGCCTAGCTAATTTTTGTATTTTTAGTAGAGACAAGGTTTCACCATGTTGGTCAGGCTGGTCTCAAACCCCTGACCTTAACTGATCCACCTGCCTCAGCCTCTCAAAGTGCTGGGATTACAGGCATAAGCCACTGTGCCCGGGCTCTTTCAGGCTTTTTTAAGTCAGCACTTATTGCTATGAACTTTCTTATTTTCACTGCTTTGGCTATATCCCAGAGATTTTGATTACTTGTGACACTATTATCATTCATTTCAGAGAATTTTTAAATTTCCATCTTGATTTCATTGTTAACTGAAAAATCATCCAAGAATAGGTTATTTAATTTCCATGTACTCATACAGTTTTTAAGTTTCATTTTGGAGTTGATTTCCAGTTTTATTCCACTCTGGTCTGTGAAGATACTTTATAGGATTTCAGTTTTCTTAAATTTGTTTAGACTTGTGTTGAGGTCTATCATATGGTCTATCTTGGAGAATGTTCCATGTGCTGATGAGAAGAATGTATATTCTACAGTTACTGGGAAGAAATGTTCTGTAAATATCTGTTAAGTCCATTTGTTGTAGGATATGGTTTAAGATCATTGTTTCTTTGTTGACTTTGTGTCTTGATGATCTGTCTAGAGCTATCAGTGGAGTATTGATGTCCCCTGCTATTATTGTCTTGCTGTCTATCTCATTTCTTAAGTCTAGTAGTAACTGTTTTATAAAGCTGGGAGCTCCACTGTTAGGTGCATATAAATTTAGGACTGTGATATCTTCTTGTTGGAATTATCATTCTATCATTATATAATGTCCTTCTTTGTCTTTTTTTTTTTTTTTACTGTTGTTGCTTTAAAGTCTGTTTTTGTTTTGTATAAGAATAGCCACTCCTGCTCTCTTTTAAGAAAATGTAGTGCATATACATCATGGAATACTATGTGGCCATAAAAAAGAATGAGTTCTTGTCCTTTGCGGAACATGGATGGAGCTGGAGGCCATTATCCTTAGCAAATTAATGCGGGAAAAGAAAACCGAATACCACATGTTCTCACTTATAAGTGGGAGCTAAATGATGAGAACACATGGACATATAGAAGGGAACTGCACACACTGGGGCCTACCAGAGAGTGGAGGCTGGGAGGAGGGAGAGGATCAGGAAAAGTAACTAATAGGTACTAGGCTTAATGCCTAGGTAACAAAATAATCTGTACAGCAAACCCCATGATACAAGTTTACCTATATAATAAACCTGCACATGTATGCCTGAACTCAAAATATAAGTTAAATCAATAAAAAATTATTTTAAAATGATCGGCGGTCCCACCTGCCCAAAGGCTGTGCTGGGAGCTCTCTGGTCCCACCAGGCACTGGCACCCTGCACCACACCACATGCAGCAGGGCTAGCGACACACCCTCAGGCCAGCCAAGGCCATGGCCACTCTACCCATGATTTTCTATGTGGGTATTCAGCTTTGATGAGTGTCTTACATCTATAAGCTAAAATTCTTCATCAAATTTGGGAATCTTTCAGCCATAGATTTTTTTGAATTTTTTTTCTGATCCTGTGTCTATCTTCTTTTGGGACTCCAATTGGTCACCTGTTTACCTGCTTTATATTTTCTGAGGGTTTGTGAAGTTTTCTTCACTTTTCTTTAATCTTATTTCACTCTTTTTTATTTTTAGATTAGACAATTTCTGTTGATTTATATTCAAGGACACTGACTGATTCTTTATTCTGCCATCTCAAAACTTCTGTTGACCTCATCCAGAGCACTGTCATTATTTTTCTATCCAGTTTGAGAATTTCCACTTAGTACCATCTATAGTTTTCATTTCTCTGCTGCAATTACTTCTATTCACTCTTTAGAAATGATATTTCCTTCATTTCTTTCCACATATTTTTCAAAACTGTCTTAAAGAGTTTGCTGATAATTTCAATATCTGGACCCATTGAAACCCATTTATTTTTAATTTCCTCCTTATTATAGTCACACATTTCTTTCTTTTCTTTCTATGTCTGATCCTATTTGATAAAGTGGACATTATATGTTTTGTTTTAGAGAGTCTGGAATCTACAACAATCTCTCTAAAGATGGCAATTCTCCCACCACCACCACCCCTGCCCCTCAGTGAACGTGGTTAACTTTCCCTGCACTGGTAACTGTGAAATCTGTTACCCCTGCAGTTGGCTACAGCTGATGTCTCTGCTCTGTTTACCGATATCCAGTTGCTGCATTTTCAGCAGGGGGCTCTGGGTGTCTACTCTGCATCTTTGTAATATTTGTCCCTGCCAAACCTCATGTTGAAATGTAATCCCCAATGCTGCAGGTGGGGCCTAGTGGAAGCTGTTTGGGTCATGGGGGTAGATCCCTCATGAATGGCTTGGTGCCCTCCCCACAGT